>NC_000003.12:89100909-89403939 GCF_000001405.40 Homo sapiens | reverse complement strand
TTAAACACAACACACATGCACAGTGAGTACCTACTATATGAGGCTATATGAGGTACTATTTTAAGCACTTTACAAGTAATAACATATTTAATAAACATTAAAATCTCATGAGTTATCACATGATGTTCCCCAATTTCCAGATAGAAAAACTGAGACACGGAGACTTGAAATGACTTGTCAAGTTCACCCTAATAATGCTCAGCTGCTCTAATGTATTTGATCTTAACTTTCACTTTATCCCTGATTTTCTTGTGCACAAAGCACACACCATGGCTTCAGTTTTTCCCCACTGAGGGTTTCCAAACAATTGGACTATCTGCTTTTCCAAACATGCCCTAATGTCTGTACTTCTTGTATTGGTGGAAGCTACCTTCATGCTAGGAAAATCCTTTTACTCTTTTATACTCCATGCTTTCTATGGGTCTTAGCTTAGTATTTTTTTTTTCATGTGCAATAATTGCACGGTTCAAGACTTCAAAACCTGGAGATTCTAGGTTTGTTGCCCCATCTGACTACATATGTAAACTCAGAAAAAAAACACACAAAATCTGTATCTTGGATCATGTATAAAAGGATACAATAGTATCTGAATAACTTATAGAACAGAATCAAATGAAATGTTTATCATACTGCTTTATATACTGTCATGTAGAAACCTGGATTCTGGAATTGATGTATCCCTTGCCAATTGTGTGACTTTGGAAAACTTCCTTAACCTCCCTTTGTCTCAGTTTCCTCAACTGTAAAATGAAGATGATAATAAATATAAAATACCAACATACAAAAATAAGATATTTTAAAGCACTTAGAAAACAATATGTGCTCTGCTCTGCCTCCATCTCTTCCCTATAAAGTTCAGAAAATGTTATCTAAATTCCAGCTCAAAATACATTGTGTTCTACCAAGAAATATGCATACATGTCATGAATGAGACATTCTTATGTAATTACAAAATTAAAACCGGCTGGGCACGGTGGCTCACACCTGTAATCCCAGCACTTTTGAAGGCCAAGGCAGTCGGATTACTTGAGGTCAGGAGTTCAAGACCAGCCTGGCCAACATGGTGAAACCCCGTCTCTACTAAAAATGCCAAAATTAGCTGGGCATTGTGGCACATGCCTGTAATCCCAGCTATAGAATCGCTTGAACCCAGGAGGCGGATTTTGTAGGGAGCTGAGATCTCACCACTGCATTCCCACCTGGGCGACAGAGCAAGACTTGGTCTCAAAAAAGAATAAATAAATACATAAATAAAATAAAATATTAAAACGAGAGGGAAAAAGCAAACTGTTAAATACAAACAGAAGTCTTATGTCTATTTTTTAAAAAAATCAATATATAACAAATAAGAGTCTTATTAAATACTTACAGCATTTAGGAATATGTCATTTTGATTTAATAAAAACAATAGGGAGAGTGAGACAAAAAAAATTTTGTCTTTTACCTCCTAAGACAAAAGGCATTTTTTTCTCATTTATATTTAAAATCTGGAAATATTATGGTGAAATAAGGGCAAAAGTAAACTAACTTTTGTAAAAAGATTAAAATGTGTAACTCACAGTTTTTAAATAAATGAGGAGGGAGAAAAAGGCTCATATTTTTCCATCCTTTTTTCCTCTTCTCTCTCTCAATCAATGGAAGCATTGCTAATACAAAACTTACTTGGCAAAAATCCTAAGGCCCTGCAGTTTTCGAATGAGATATTTCCTAAACCTCAGACACTGAAGCCTCATTAGAAGGTTATGCATAAATGCTACCACAGCAATATCTGTGGTAAATCTGGAATTACATTACAATTTTAAAATATATTGTTTTTGCAAATTTACTTATCAGAGAGGGTTAAGTGTTAAGACCATGTAATATTAGAGGGATGTTCCCAAATATGCATAAAACATGTTTATCTAATAGTGATCTGAGCTTTTTGCCTCATAATATGCCTGATTTCTACCACAGGACACAATAAATATTAGCTTTTGCTAATTCTATGATTTCGGATCTCTCCTGATAAATCAAATATAGATTTTGTTATTGCTGTTATTTCAAATATTCATTTAAGTCCCAGTACTTTGGGAGGCTGAGGTGGGTGGATCACCCTGAGGTCAGGAGTTCAAGATCAGCTTGACCAATATGGTGAAACCCCATCTATACTAAAAATACAAAAAAAATTAGCCAGACGTGGGCACATGAGCCTGTAGTCCCAGCCACTCGGGAGGCTGAAACAGAAGAATTGCTTGAGTCAGGGAGGCAGAGGTTGCAGTGAGCTGAGATCATGCCATTGCACTCCATCCTGGGCAACAGAGCAGGATTTTGTCACAAAAAAAGAAAGAGATTTTGAGAAAAGTTAATCTGTAATCATTTCAAAAGGAGAAACTTTCTTCGTACCACTTAACATTTGCAAAAAGTCTTAGAAGTACTAATGTTAAGTTACACTTATATTTTATTATTGAGCCATCTAAAGTTTTTAATTTGTTTTAAACCTTGTTGGCACTTGCATTATTTCCATCATACTTCATGTTTTGTTTCTAATATCTTCTGAGGGTGATTTCTCCATACACATTTTATTGTGAGGATTAAAAGAAGTCTTTAAGAATAGATTTACGTATTTGAGGATGGCAGCTCTCCTTTGAGTAGAATTGTCATGGTTCAGCTATGAGCAGATGATTTCTAAAAACATTAACATTTCAATACCTGGTGAAATTTATAGCTCCTTATTGTAAGCAGCATTTCTAATTGTCCGACAGAAAGTGTGCCATAAAATATGTACTCCAACATGAGTAAACTTGATGGAATAAATACTATATAACTAGAATGATTCTTATATTTTTAGGTCAATCCTGAAAGTTTTTATCAGGTATCAAATTTGGACACAAAAATATACCAGTAACAATGAGATTTTATGTCAGGAACTAACTATCTAGAAAATGGGAAGTACAGGTGTCAGGGAAGAATGGGAAATGGGAATGGTCAGAAGATTATTATATTCCATTCAGCAGAGTGTTGAGCATTGTCAGACCTTTCCTGGGTAATCTATTTCTAAAGGGTGTGCATCTTTGCTCATCTTTCTAGGCTACCTTACAACAGTGAATTTAAGTTGTAGAAAACTGATAGTGATATATATCCTTTTTCCTTTAACAATTGAAATAACACTTATTTACTAGAAAGACAACTGGTTTGTGCCCTGTAAGAAAGATGACCTCAATCATTACATTTATTACCCTCATTGGATATTAACCAGTGTGGGATATATTAGCACATTTTTAGCATATTATGATTACCTAAACACACACACACACACACACACACGCTCACACACACACACACATAATTATGTATCTGTTCTTCAAGTTTTTCTTAGCACAGGTTTTAATCTCTTGCTAATCTGTTTATTAATTAATGAGTTAAACAGCCGGGCGAGGTGGCTCACGCCTATAATCCTAGCACTTTGGGAGGCCAACGCGGGCGGATCACGAGGTCAGGAGATCAAGACCATCCTGGCTAACAAGGTGACAGGAGATCAAGACCATCCTGGCTAACACGGTGAAATCTGGACTCTACCAAAAATACAAAAAATTAGCCGGGCATGGTAGCGGCCGCCTGTAGTCCCAGCTACTCGGGAGGCTGAGGGGGAGAATGGCGTGAAGCCAGGAGGCGGAGCTTGCAGGAGCTTGCAGTGAGCCGAGATCGCTCTGCTGTACTCCAGCCTGGGTGACAGAGCAAGACTCCGTCTCAAAAAAAAAAAAAAAAAAAGAAAGAAAGAAAAAAATGAGTTAAGTAAAATCATTAACTTCTACTCATTTTATATTAGTGCCATAGACATAATTTTACCTTTTTGAAAATTATATTTTAGCAAAGGGCTTTTTTAAGTATGAAGAAAATTCATTTGAAAAAAAGAAAAGTTACTGGAAAAATGTTTGCCAGTTTTAGGCCAATTTTAGCCAAATTTGGGGTTAAAGGAACAGGCTATTCAAATTACTTCTGAATGTGAATGAAGTGATAAAACACATTTTAGAAAATCCTTATTCTCTCTGTGATATGCTATTGAATGTGTTAAGGATTAAAACAAAATTAAGATTCTCATGGATCAGCAAGTTTCTTTTTTGTGGTTCATTGAATCACGCAATGAACCTGGAATATCTGAAATGACAGACACTGGAAGTGTGTTACTATATTAAATAATGTTCCTCAAAAGCAATTTATGGCTAAAAAAAAAAAACAGAAGCATTTCAGGCATTAGAATATGTTTGATTTGCATACAAGAAAAAAAGAAACACAAAATGTACACCCACACAAACACAAATACTGTATACAGACACAGGGCTCTGCAAATTGCAATGTCCCAAGCAATATACCTTAAATGTATCACATTTGTTTAAAACTTAGAAACAGTGAGAATAAACGATCAGACATCTTTTGCAAGATCCCTGCCCCCTCCTCTAGACTGCATTGAAATAATACATACAGTCTGGACTAGTTTCAAACTCAAACTTGCGGCTGTTCGTCCCATATCCAGCGGCTGTTCGGGCTCGGATTTGGAATACGTATATAGTGTCAGGCTTGAGGCTACTGATGGTAACATTTGTGCCTCTTGCCCTCAGAATGGTATAACTTGTTTCTTGTTCCTGCTTTGAGGTCAGAAAAAAAAATTCATGTTAAAATCAAATCTTCATAATGCTATAAAATGATAAACAGTGAACCACTCAAACCTGATTCTTTTATATTTTAACACAAATCATAGGATGGATTTAAAAAGTCATATCGATTATTTCAATTATTTTATTCTCTGAACGCAACTTAGGCATTTTTTTTTTTTTTAGACAAAGTCTTGCTTTGTCACCAGGCTGGAGTGCAGTGGCGCGATCTCAGCTCACTGAAACCTCTGCCTCCTGGGTTCAAACGATTTTCCTGCCTCAGCCTCCTGAGTAGCTGGGACTACAGGTGCACGCCATCACTCCCAGGTAATTTTTGTATTTTTAGTAGAGACGAGGTTTCACCATGTTGGCCAGGCTGGTCTTGAACTGCTGACCTCAGGAGATCCACCTGCCTCGGCCGCCCAAAGTGCTGGGATTACAGGCATGAGCCACCGCACCTGTCCCAACATGGGCATTTCTAAAAATAAAAATATTTACAGAATTTCCCAATTTGAATATTATGATTTCTGTCCTGCATGTAAAGCAGGAAAAATTTGGCTTTATTCTAACCAGTAAATATGTGAGAGAAGATATGTTCTCTTCAAAGTCAAGGCTGAGAGAAAGCTTAAATCTAATTCCAATAACAAACTTACAAAGAAGAAAATATCCCTTTGAATTAAACCTAATAGGAATGCTCTATTGATTCTGGAGTAGAACTTTTTTTTATCAACCTTAAAATATTAAACATAAAAAATCAAGGTTTTATATGTAGCTCTACATTATTTTTAGCTTAACTGTATTTGTGCTGTATTTAATCTAAGTCACTGTGGTTTGGTAGAGACAAAAATCTCCAGATCAAAGGCTAGAAATGCTTCCCAAAAAGGATCTCTAGGAGATTCACATTGTACATTAGATTCACACGACACATTTTAGTGGTCTCTTTGTGTCAAGCTTTGTTTACAAAAATTGAATTTATCAAGAATTACGTTTTTTCTCTCACATATATTATTATACACAGAGCTCCTATGAGGAACCTGATTTCAAGCAATGGTACAATGTCCCTGCACCTAGAGTAGGACCTAGAGTGGATAATATGAAACGCTGTATATCCTCAACCAAAACGAGATTGAATAGTACAGAAAACATGCCATACATTACATATACTGTTAATCACCATCAGCGAAATAACCAGTCCAGAAATCTAGACCTTGTGGACCTTAAATCCTAGAGAATCTTTCTAAATATTACCAAGCATACTATAAATATTTAGAATTAATTTTTAAATTTAGGTATATGTGATGCAAATATGTATTTAAAGGAATATATTTTAAATAATATTACAGGTATGTATGTATCAAAAAATACTTAGGGAATAATCAATAGATTTGACCATTTTTTCCTGCAATAGCTAATATTGTTTAAAAGTAATGTCCAGGGGTGGTGGCTCACGCCTGTAATCCCAGCACTTTGGGAGGCCCAGGCGGGTGGATCACCTGAGGTCACAAGTTTAAGACCAGCCTGACCAACGTGGAGAAACCTCATCTCTACTAAAAATACAAAATTAGTTGGGCATGGTGGCGCATGCCTATCATCCCAGCTACTTGGGAGGCTGAGGCAGGAGAATCGCTTGAACCTGGGAGGCGGAGGTGGCGGTGAGCCGAGATCATGCCATTGCACTCCAGCCTGGGCAACAAGAGTGAAACTCCATCTCAAAAAAAAAAAAAAAAAAAAGGCAATGATGCTTGTTGCATTTGTTGAGGGAGTTTGAAATAAGGCAGCATATTTCTCATGTTTGTGAAAGGTGCAGATGTATACAATTAAAATTTGAGATCAACCTCATAGATCTAAATGTTAGGTGTTCTTCTCCCAGTCCTGAAATCTAGTTTGAACTGAGGCACATTACTGATTTTTAAGAATTTTGTGGCATCATTTATGAACATGAATTATTATATTTGCCCATTCTATCTTGTCACACTTCTGAAAATAGATCACAATCCTATGAGTATTTGACTTTACCACAGTAGAGGACTCAAAGCTAGGAGAAAATTTATTTCTACTACAATTTTTGAACAATGAAGTTTATTTGGCATCAATTTCTTTTAATAAAAAAGATATACTCTAGGCTTTCTGTAAGAGAGACTATGAAAAAAATGACATTATACTAGAGAAATATATTAACTTCAAGCAAGGAAATAACTACATAATGCAAAACAATGTTTTTACATTACGCAGTTTGCACAGTTGATTATGCCAATAATTCTTATAAGGATCTATTATCATGTAGAAAAAGGTACCTGATATAGGGAAAAACCTACTAAAGGAGGACTCACGGCTGCCACAATTCAAAACAGATGCCTAATATTTATTAGCAATGAGGCTGTGGGAAATTCATATAACATCACTCTCTGTTTTCTTATTTCTAAAACAACTTACTTTGCTACTTCCATAAGGTTGTTATACAGCTCAGACTTAAGTAATGTCCACAGAAATGTTCTGTAAATATAAACTGCTATATAAATGCACAATTTGCATTTAATTCATTTTAACACACTTTATAAACTGAAGTAGATACACAAATATGTAGTGTTCATGTTAGTAGTTGTGAAACTAACTAGCTGTGATTCTAAGGTTTAAACATATCTTGTCTTTAAACTTTACTATCATTTACAACCAGAAAAAAAATGAGTTATTTAGAATGATGGAATACTCGCCACTCCACTCAGGGCAAAATAACCACATAACTATTTTTTAATAATTTTTAAATTTGGGGTAAAAATAACCATGTGCCTATTTTTTTTAATAATTGCATTACCAAGCCACAACTTTATGTCACGCAAATTTATCCATCTATCCCCAACCTTTTAAATTTCCTTCTACAGGGTCAAGAAAATCTTTTCATCATCAGTTAAATAATACAATATTTTTCTTACTAGCACAATGTTGCTATTTGTATTGAATGAAATGCATGTAAATTTGAAGGTCAGGAAATGATGCTTGAGGCAATGAACTAAAAAAACAGTTCACAAATAGACTAAGAAACCACAATAAAATAGTTGGTAGAGTAGGGGTCTTGGTGTAAAGGGAGATAAATGTCATGCTATTGCCATAAGTAACTGGATTAAGTTGGCAGTGGCATCTTTGATGTTGTTTATTGCTGTAGAATAGGGGGTATTCAACAAGATTCTTTCTAAACCTTCCTCTACCAATAAATCAAAGGGGTCACAGGGCCACAGTTCTAAACAGTGCTCTACCATTTACCAGGAATGTCACTGGTTTCTTTGCAAGAGCACAGCTCATGAGGAAACAGCTTCTTGCCTACACAGCCCAACCCTTAAACATTGTTTCCCCACCTTTTCATAGTATTTGACCTCGTAGTCCAATATGATCCCATTAGGATGTTCAGGTTCTTGCCAGGACAAAGAGATGCTATTTCTGGAGGTCCGATCTTTCTTAATCGTCAGGACAGGTGATGGAGCTGTAAAGAGAGGATGGGAGGGGAAGGTGGAAGGAAGCAAATTAATGGGTTAGAAAGGGTGGCGAATAAGAACAGAGGGAGAAGGGAACATGCAAATGGAGTCTATCATTGTTCCAGTTTTTTGGCAAGAAAGCACTATTTCCATTTCCAAGGCTCTTGAATATTAATCTGGCCCCATATCCAGACTCAACAGCTGGATTATAGCCCTGGTACATGCAGGCCTAGGGAAAATGTGCTGAGATTCTCTGCTGCTGGTGGACTAGTGGCAAGTGAGCAGATGTTTTCAATCTGCTACTATAATGTAAGCAATGAAATATATTTGATGTATTAAAAAAAGAACAAAACATCAGGACTACCTATTTGTTATAATGTTGCAAAGTTATTAATGCCAGATTCTTCAGCTCATTGATAACATTTTCATATGCAGCTCTGCAAGAGGACTGGAATCCATTATGCACAAGGAGTCCCATGGTATCCATAGGTAATAATAATATTTAGTATATTGTAAAATAGATATGATTTAGGACATATTACAGTAGGCCTTGACTTCTGACAAACATCTCTTGACTACAAAGAAAAGGAACAACAATCTTCTTTTGTACAGTTTTATTTCTTAAAAAAATACTTAATGAGAGGTACCAAGGAAATGACTGCTATATGTGTTACAATTACCTAGACATGTTTTGAAATGTCTTATTTGATGGTGATTCTACATTTGCTATGTTTTGCTAAGCATTATCGAAAGTATGGAATATGAATAAAAACCCCATCTGTTTGGATCAGATATCATAGGGTCAAATTCATTTCTAACTGAAGATTAAAAATATTTTAAGTGATTTCCTTCTTCAAACCCTTCCATTAAAAGGAAAAATGCATACTATCATCAAAGTACTTCTGCTTTCAAATCTCAATCTTGGTTCACTCGCCAATCGAAATGTCTCACTGGAGTTCAGTGGCACCCTGCCTTAATGGAATGCAGCAAAATAAACTACAAACACACAACAAACAAAAACTCAGGAATCTTTAGATACATTAACTGTTGAATTGTTTTCATTGTTAAAGCACTTATTTTTATATAGATTTTTCTCAAATCAAGGACCATAAGAACCTCATGTATTTGTATTTCCCACAAGTTAGCAGAAGTTCTGTATTTGTTGATGTTTCTATGATTATCACATGATGATTTTTGCATCCGACCTCTCATTCAAACTTTCCTATCTATAAACACTTTTCATTTTTATTCTTCACCTATAATAGAAACTTTCATGATGCTTGCCTTGTGCCACTTCAGAGAAAACTGTACACCAAAAAATAGAATCTACTGCAATATTTCCCATCAACTGGGTTTTATTATTTGTGAGATCTCATAGGAACACCTTCTAATTGAAGCATGGATTGGCCTGGGAATGATGACTTAATCTTTTATTATTTTTTTCTTTCTTTAAGACAGGGTTTTGCCCTTGTTTTCCAGGCTAGAGTGTAGTGATGTGATCTCGGCTTACTGCAGCCTCCACCTCCCAGGCTAAAGCAATCCTACTGGCTGAGACTACAGGCTTGTGCCACCACAATCAGCTAATTTTTTATTATTTGTAGAGACAAAGTTTTGTCATGTTGCCCAGGCTGATCCTGAACTCCTGGGCTCAAGTGATTCTCCCCGGTAGGCCTCCCAAAGTGCTAGAATTACAGGCATGAACCACCACACTTGGCCTGACTTAATCTTTTGCCAAGGAAAAATGTAGGTGTTGCTTTTCTGATGAAAAAGTAAATTCATTTTCTTACCAACTTTTTGCTCCCATTAGGAATTAATATCTTTTCATACAAATTAACATCATTTACCTTTCATTATCAATTCTTCATCTATTCAATAATCCTCTATTTTAGTCCCTAAATTGGCTTCACCCCCACAACCCTGCAATTTGCTCTCTAAAATTGATTCCAAGCAAAAGATAAGTTATTTTTCTTATACTTTAGTTGAAGCTTCATAAACATATTCTATATTTATAAATGTATTGCTGAATTATAAATAAATGGATATGTGGATTTTTTAAAAAAAAATTTATTTTTGCTTACTTTAATACTTAGAAAAATCAAATCATTATCCAATCACTAATAAAAAAATTTCAGCCCCAGTGTCTTTGGACTCAAATTTTGCATTTTCTACAATGAGGAAATCTACTAATTTTTCTGCTGAAGTAAGTCCATTAACGGAGTCACATTTAATGTTGGTTTCAAGAGCATTTCAAGAAGCTTAATGTTGGAACACATGAGGTCCTACATTTAATTTGATACCACCATGAAACTTTCATTTTTTCCTAGTGGTTAAAATTCATTTTCAAAGAAGTTTTGAAAATAACCAGGTACAGCATCTCTCCTTTAAAAAAAGAAAAGTGAGAAAACAATTCATTTCAAAGAACAATTGCGATGAGGATTGTATTAACTTTTTCATGAAAGCTTTGTGGGCTGTTTTGGGGGTCTGTCCAAATTTTACTGCTTCTGCACTGAGCAGGACTTTATAACTGTTGAATTTCTTCAAAGCTCTTTGAGCAAGCTGCAGGACCCTGTTGGACTGTAATAAATAGGCTTTTGTAATTCCACACTTACTTAAGTAGAGGCAATTGCTTGAAGCTTGTGCCATCGCTATGTTAAATGAACCTTTTCTGATTGCTGCTTTTGGACCCCTAATAAGTCATTTGTTCTGCTCTTTTAATACACGCCCCTTGTGCTGGCTGCATTTCAGAAAAGTTCAACTCAGTACACCAGCTGGAAGCCCGGTACTTTTTAATACTCATCAATATTTTAATATTAATAAATAATTAATAGGAATTGTTTTTCTTTCCCCTGATAAATAATGTGGACATAATAAAACATAATGGAGAAAGAGACAAATTCTCTGGGCACTCCATTGTATCAATGCTTTTAAAAAGTTTTCTAGAATACTTTTTAATTCATGTTTTGAGGTATAATTTATCGATTTTTTTATGTGCTGTGACACAATTTAGAATATTAATGAGAAAGTGATACAAATTATGCTTTTCATTAATTTTCAGATATCAAAGAGTGATTTGTTCAAATTACTAATTTGCAAATTCATAGAAATTCTTTAAATCAGTGTTTTTCTGTACAAAAATTCATGATATTGCAGTGTACACTGTATGACAGATTTATTTTCTTTTCATTCTTCTGTTTTTTAAATTTGCAATTTGAGAGAATGGAAGTTAATGGTTAAACAAAATGGAAAAAAAAAACTTTCAACTTCCTTAAGACTGGAAAAATGCTGAGAGCTACAGGCAAAATTAAGAAGGAAGAGAAATCTCAGGGATTTTTTGGCAAAAATGCTGGTATAGATGCTAAAATCGCAATTGCCAGTAAATGACCTGATAGCCTAGGTTTTTTTTTTTTCGATGGAGTTTCACTCTTGTTGTCCAGGCTGGAGTGCAGTGGTGCAATCTCGGCTCACTGCACCTCCACTTCTCGGGTTCAAGAGACTCTACTGCCTCAGCCTCCCAAGTAGCTGGGATTACAGATGCGTGCCACCACACCCAGCTAATTTTCGTATTTTTAGTAGAGACAGGGTTTCGCATGTTGGCAAGGCTGGTCTCGAACTCCTGATCTCAGTTGATCCAACTGCCTCAGCCTCCCTAAATTCTGGGATTACAGGAGTGAGCCACTGCGCCCCTCCGGATTTTTAATTTTCTGCCTCTTACACAAACTAATTGATAGATTACTGAAATGGTTCCCCTATTAAGAGAAAGAAGTTGATGACAGAATAGGATGCTGAGAAACTGGTGCAGGCATTGACGCAAGTTAGCAAATAGTTTTGTAGAAAAACAAATGAAGAAACTGGTAAAAAGAAAATTTAAAACCGTATAAAGGTAATAATTTTTAGCAAATTTAAAATAATGTCTGGTATGTAAAATACATTTTTGTTGTATTGGTATTTAAGAGAGAGAAATAATATTAATATTTGATCTTTAATTTTTGCTATTCTGGATACAGCTGATATATGTGCCCTTTGTAAAACTATAAAGAAAGGAGACATAATATACTTTGTAAAGTGGTATTGATTATATTTTAAATGAAATATTTCTTAAGAGAATACAAATAGGCCGGGCGCGGTGGCTCACGCCTGTAATCCCAGCACTTTGGGAGGCCGAGGCGGGCGGATCATGAGGTCAGGAGATGGAGACCATCCTGGCTAACACGGTGAAACCCCATCTCTACTAAAAAAAAAAATACAAAAAATTAGCTGGGCATGGTGGCGGGCACCTATAGTCCCAGCTATTCGGGAGGCTGAGGCAGGAGAATGGCGTGAACCTGGGAGGCAGAGCTTGCAGGCTTGCATCGAGTCGAGATCACGCCACTGCACCCAGCCTGGGTGACAGAGCGAGACTCCATCTCAAAAAAAAAAAAAAAAAGAAAAGAAAGAAAAGAAAAGAAAAGAAAAGAAAAGAAAAAAATACAAATAAAGGAGAAAAAAATAGTTAAGACTAAGAGGGAGGGGTGGCTTATGCATCACACAGCTGACCATTCTCCATGAAGCTTCTCCGGACTTACACAGCGGTACTGAAAACTTCCAAACACCGCCAGTACTAAAGAAACTCTTAACTGTGTGTCAGTGGAATTGCATGATGCTTTCAATCTATTCTTCTTTCAAATGTTTCTTCGATCATGACATAGGACTAGACAGATATTTTCACCCTATATATCTAGTAATATGTGTTTTATAAAAGCTGATATAAAAGTGCTTTTCAGGCCAGGTGCAGTGGCTCGTGCCTCTAATCCCAGCACTTTGGAAGGCTGAGGCAGATGGATCACCTGCAGTCAGGAGTTCGAGACCAGCCTGGCCAACATGAAACCCGGCTCTACTAAAAATACAAAAAAACGAGCCAGATGTAGTGCTGGGCACCCATAATCCCAGCTACTCGGGAGGCTGAGGCAGGAGAATCAGATGAACCCGGGAGGCGGAGGTTGCAAGTGAGCAGAGATTGCATGTCATTGCACTCCAGCCTGGAAAACAAGAGTAAAACTCTGTCTCAAAAAAAAAAAAAAAATGCTTTTCAATTTCTCTTCCAAGAAGACATAACTTTCTGGAAACCAAGGGTTGACTTGCTCACAGTGTTTTCTTCCCTAAGTCCAGGCCACTGCAATGACAGCCTCTTGAATCAGCAACATGCAATGACTAGTTGACATATATAACGGAGAGATGCAAAGTACCACTTTTTTTTTTTTTTTTTTTGGAAACGGAGTCTCGCTCTGTTGCCCAGGCTGGAGTGCGGTGGCACGATCTTGGCTCACTGCAACCTTTGCCTCCCGGGTTCAAGCAATTCTCCTGCCTCAACCTCCCGAGTAGCTGGGATTACAGGCGAAGGCCACCATGCCTAGCTAATTTTTTGTATTTTTGGTAGAGATGGGGTTTCATCATGATGACCAGGATGGTTTTGAACTCCTGACCTCAAGTGATCTGTTTGCCTTGGCCTCCCAAAGTGCTAGCATTACAGGCATGAGCCACCACACCCGGCCAAAGTACCACTCTTAACAGTTAATAATTGGCCAGGCATGGTGGCTCACATCTGTAATCCCAGCACTTTGGGAGGCTGAGGTGGGCAAATCATGAGGTCAGGAGGTCGAGACCAGCTTGACCAATATGGCAAAACCCCATCTCTACTAAAATTCAAAAATTAGCTGGTTGTGGTGGTGTGTGACTGTAATCCCAGCTACTTGGGAGGCTGAGGCAGGAGAATCACTTGAATCCTGGAGGTGGAGGTTACAATGAGCCAAGATGACACCACCACACTTCAGTCAGGGCGACAGAGTGAGACTCAGTCTCAAAAAAATTTAAAAAAAGTTAATAATTGAACCTCAGCCGAGAAGTAGAGAAGAACTTTTTCTAAAAGATTGTTTCTTCATCTATTTGAAGTACAGAAGGAAGATTTTTGCACATTGTAACCTGAGTCATTGACTACACTCAATAAAATAATAGAAAAACAAATTACAATGGTAAAGCAAAAATGTTGGCTAGAAAGTGTCTCCTTGTGAAGGGATCTGGTTAGGGATGAGACTTGCGTCATTCACAATTTGTGTTAGAATTACACTTGATACATGTGTCTGCCAGATCTGGTGACAGACATGGAAGGGATTCTTTGTTTTAACTATGGTGTTTTAAAATCTATATTTGCCATTATTCTGCCTCTAAAATATGACCCTTCCTTAAAATCAGGAAGTGAAAACTTCAAAATTCAACCCATAAAGGATCTGGTTTGGTTTATTTGTTTTTATTGGGACCTTCCTCTTTCTAGATTTGGGAATTTCTAATGAACCTCTGAGGTATCTCTGTGATTTAGAGATTGGACAAGTTAAAGTAATAACAAAAAGGGCTCAGGATTTCTTTTCTAAGTGAGCCAAAGCTTTTAAAAATTGTCTCCATGGGAAAATATATGCAGTGAATGGTTGAAAGATTTTTCTTTTGAATCAGACATGACTTTAAAAGCATTAGTCTCTTATTTTTCTTTACCATTCATTACAATGCCTACTGAGGAACATTTCCTTCTCAGTTTTTTCAGAAGTGAACACTTCTGTTAAATCTAGAAACTCTCTTGGGTTTGATTTAGCATAATCATTCATTGCTTAATGTTCTTCAACTCACCATTCCTACACTGATTTCCCCAAACCTGGTGTTCTGATTTTCTATTTTAGCTACAAAACCTTATCAATTTGCAGTGTATCCAGTTCAAAATCTCAGAGTTATAGTTTATATTTTTTCTCACCAATAATTCAGCTTGCCAATCAGCTCAACTTTCTGAAAACTGATCACTTTTCTACTTTTCCAGCCGTGGATTAGTTCAAACCCTTGCCATTTACCAACTGCATTGGATTCTATGACTTTCAGCTTAATATTTTCAGAATTTCAACTTTCTATACATTTTGATGATTTAGTATTTTATAAAGCAAATGAAACATTGATTCCCCTCTCTTTCAAAATCACATAATTTCAAATCTAGGTTTTCTAAAATGTTAAGCAAATAATAAGCTCCAACAGAACGGTCTGGAGATCTGTATTTTTAAGAAGATGATAGCAGATAACTCTTAGGATCACAAAGAGTTGGGAAACTTTGGACTACAGTAGGATACAAAATTTGAAATTCATTTCATTATTATTTAGTGCTCCTCACAAGACTGCAACATACATACCAGCTTTGTCATTTATTGCTCTCCATACAAAGCTAAAATTCTAAAGACAATTCTTTTTTTCAGTTGTTTGTGTATGCTGTACTCCCTGTCTGCAACACTAGATCTCTCTCTTTTCCACCTGGAAAACTGCTTCTACTACTCATTAGTCTCCAAAATCCTTTGCTAATATAATTCCCTCATAAAGTTTCTCCTGAGTCCCTTAGGCAATAGTTGATCAGGTCCTTCCTCTGCCCTCTTACAGTATAGTTGCTCCTTCTCCCATTATTTATCTGACTGCATTGTGTTGTAATTACATCATTTGCTTACAGTATGTCTTCCCACTAGACTGTATGTCCCTCAGAATCTTAGGTGCCTAGCATAGTGCCGGCTTTGCATAAATCTACCATGGAATTTGGTTAGCCTTGGAATAAAGTATACAGCATATTTTCTGGCTGGTTCCTCTGAAAAATAAGTTCTATTTAGCCCGTGATATTAAAATAAAAAAATTAAAATCAAAATGGCAATGAAAATGTGCTTAGAAGAGAGACTACTCTCTATAAACTTATGTTATTCAATTTCTATAGTAAAAAGAAAAGTAATTTTCTCAATAGAATTAATTGTGCTGGGAGAAAAATATTCTAAGACATAATACACTGAAAATAAATTTTGACCAGAATTTCCTCCCCCGATTTTTTGATAACAGTATACACAAGATTTAGTCTTTTCTAAAGACTAAAACTCCAAAATTTTAATCATTGAATTTTAAAGATCTAAAGTAGTTTTAAAGACTGGAGAATTTTGTTATAATTTATAATCTTATCCTTTTCTCAGCGTGGAGAAATAAAAAATTTTAAAAAAGTAATGACAAATGAAGTATGCATTTCATAGTCATTTATTGCATAAATTCACCAAAATGAAATCTTATATTTCATTTTAACAATTAATCAACATATTCCTTGTTATAAAAATATAAAAGTCTTCTTCTTTTTAATATCTCCCAGTATCCTCACAGAATTAGAGCAATCTTCATACATATGATATATGTGATATGGTTCTGAAAATCTAGGGGATAATCATAGATTTCTAAATATAATGCTTCAGTGTGAAAGAGGTTATATCAGTTCATTCTCACGCTGCTATAAAGCACTGCCCAAGACTGGGTAATTTATAAATGAAAGAGGCTTAATTGACATAGTTACTCAGGGGTGAGGAGGCCTCAAGAAACTTACAATCATGATAGAAGGGGAAGCAAACACTTCCTTCTTCACATGGCTGCAGCAAGGAGAAGTGCAGAGTGAAGTGGCAGGGAAGCCCTTACAAAACTATCAGATAGCATGAGAACTCACTCACTATCATGAGAATGGCATGAGTGTAACTGTCCCCATGATTTAATTACCTCCCACCCATGGTTCCCTCCTAGGACACATGGGGATTATGGGAATTATAATACAAGATGAGATTTGGGTGGGGACACAGAGCCAAACCATGTCATTCCACCCCTGACACCTCCCAAATCTCATGTCTTCACATTTTAAAACATAATCATGCCCTTCCAATGGTCCCCAAAGTCTTAACTCATTCCAGCATTAACCCAAAAATTCAAATCCAAAGTCTCATCTGAGACAAGTCAAGTCCTTTCTGCCTATGAGCCTGTAAAATCAAAAGCAAGTCACTTACTTCCCAGATACGATGAGGGTACGGCCATTGGCTAAATACACCTATTCCAAATGAAATAAGTTGGCCAAAACAAAGGGACTCCAGGCCCATGCAAGTCCAAAATCAAACAAGGCAATAATTAAATCTTAAAGCTCTGAAATAATCTCTTTTGACTCCATGTCTCATATCCAAGTCATGCTGATGCAAGAGATGGGCTCCCACAGCCTTGGGTTTTCCAGGGTACAGCACTCCTCCCATTTACTTTCATGGGCTGGTGTTGAGTGTTTGTGGCTTTTCCAGGTGCATCCAACGCAAGCTGTCAGTGGATCCACCATTCTGGGGTCTAGAGGATAGTGGCCTTCTTCTCACAGCTTCACTAGGCAGTGCCCCACTGGGGACCCCACATTTCCCTACTGCACTGCCCTTGCAGAGGTCTCTATGAGGGCTCTGCCCCTGCAGCAAACTTCTGACTGGACATCCAGGCATTTCCAAATATCCTCTGAAATATAGGTGGAGGTTCCCAAACCTCAGTGCACCTGCAGGCTCAACACTAGGAAGAAGCTGCCAAGGCTTGGGTCTTGCACCATCTTAAGCCATGGCCCAAGCTATACCTTGGCCTCTTTTAGCCACAGCTGGAGCAGCTGGGACACAGGACAACAAGTCTCAATGCTGCACACAGCAGGGGGTCCTTGGACTGGCCCTCAAAACCATTTTTCCCTCCTTGACCTCCTGGCCTGTCAAAAAGATATCTGACATGCCCTGGAGATGTTTTCCCGATTGTCTTGGCAATTAATATTTGGCTCCTTATTACTTATGCAAATTTATGCAGCCAGCTTGAATTTCTCCCCCACCAAAATGAGTTTTTCTTTTCTACTCCATTATCAGGCTGCAAATTTTCCTAACTTTAATGCTCTGCTTCCTCTTGAATGTTGTGCTACTAAAAAAATTGTTCCACCAGATACCTTAAATTATCTCTCACAAGTTTAGAGTTCTGCTGATCTCGAGGGCAGGGGCAAAATGCCACCAGTCTCTTTGCCAAGCTATTAAAAGAAGCACTTTATTCCGGCTGCCAACAAGTTCCTCATCTCCATCTGAGACCACCTCAGCCTGGTCATCATTGTTTATATCACTATCAATATTTTGGTCAAAGCCATTTAACAAGTCTCTAGGAAGTTCCACACTTTCCCACATCTTTCTGTCTTCTAAGCCTCCCAAGTCTCTTGGAAATTCTAAACTATCCCATATTTTCCTGTCTTCTTCTGAGTTTTCCAAATTGTTCTAACCTTAGCCTGTTTCCCAGTTCCTAAGTTGCTTCCACATTTTTGGGTATCCTTATAGCAGCACCCCACTCTCTGTGGTACCAATTTACTATATTAGTCTTCTCTCACACTGCTATAAAGAACTACTCAACACTGGGTAATTTATAAAGGAAAGTGGGTTAATCAACTCACAGTTCTTCAGGACTAGGGAGGCCTCAGGAAATTTACAATCATGGCAGAAGTTGAAGCAAACATGTCCTTCACATGGCAGCAGGAAGTAGAAGTGCCAAGCAAAAGGGAGAAAAGATCCTTATAAAACTATCAGATCTTGCGAGAACTCACTATGATGAGAACAGCATGAGGGTAACAGCCCCCATGATTCAATTACCTCCCACTGGGTCCGTCCCATAACATGTGGGGATTGTGGGAACTATAATTCCAGTTGAGATTTGGGTGGGACACAGAGTCAAACCATATAAGAGGTTAATATTGATAAACAGCTATATTTAAAACTCTTATTGTCCACTTGAAGCTGAAGTTGATTATCTCTAAAATAAGAAATTATGTTGGTAGGAAATAATACATATAGAGCAAATAATTTTTTTTCATAATGAAATCCTTTTAGAAAATGCAGTATATTAGCAAACCTATCATAAAATACTGTGACTCTTAGAGGAGATATGTATGTATAATATTTGTATTTATGTATGTGTGTGTATAAAATCAGTATGTTTTAGAAAAATGATCCTTGGATTGCTGGGATGTTCTACAATATTCTTATCTCTTTTCTGGGATGTTCTACAATATTTTTATCTCTTTAGGTCCTTTAGAGGGCTGTGAGTACATATAATACATCTGCAGTTTAAGCATCTAGTGATCCCTATCCTGGGACATCCATACATTGTTATACAAGGTGATGAGAATGATGGTTATTCATCTAAATATTTGTGTATGTGTGTATTTATGTGCATCTTTCAGCCTAGTGCTTATTCTTTACATATATCATATGAAGCTGCTAACGGATCTGGTGGTCTTTTAACATGAGACAACTGAAATTCAACCGCATCTATGACATTCTTTCTTTTTTTCATCAATTGTACCTGAAACATAAGATACCCTCAAAATGCTTAGACAGATATGCATTTAATTGTGTGAATTTTTAAAAGGCAATATTCTTAATTTTATGTATGAAAAATACATGCTTCACACTTCTGTTTGTTAGAGCCTAAACGTTTTAGAAAAATACATTTCAGAGAAAATGTAAACAATCCACAAGGAGAAGATCAAATCTTTATTCCCAGAGAGCGAAAAACAATTTTGCAAAATTCCTAAATTCAGTTAAGTTTCTGTCTTTCACTTTCCAGAAAATATAGCTTAGATTTGCAAGTGAAAAATATGTCTATCTACTGGCTTTGTTAATCTTGGGTAAGAACATTAACTTTGATGGAATTTTAATAGCCCGAGTCCCCAACCAATGCAGGATTGCTTTAGGCAATATCTTCTGCTTGTTGTCTTAATTCACTGGTTTCCACAAAATTAAGACGACAAAGTAGAAACTTTAAAACTACAGTTGATAATCAAAATTGGAAGGACTAAATATGAAACCTTAGAAAAAAATTAGATAGTATCTTATACAACTTTTTAGTCTGAACAATAAATCACATTTATCTCAGTATAGATGGCTCCAAAGATCGAGGAGGGACAACTATTGAAAGTATATGGCTGATGAACATGTGGTTTTGAATGATTCTATAAAATCAAGCTGAAATCAATGCAGAACAAATTTCAGATTAGAAATTGGCTGACTGGCTAGGTGCGGTGGCTCACGCCTGTAATCCCAGCACTTTGGGGGGCCGAGGTGGGCAGATCTCGAGGTCAGGAGATCGAGACAATCCTGGCTAACATAGTGAAACCCCATCTCTACTAAAAATACAAAAAATTAGCCGGGCGTGGTGGCGGGCACCTGTAGTCCCAGCTACTCGGGAGGCTGAGGCAGGAGAATGACGTGAACCCGGGAGGTGGAGCTTGCAGTGAGCCGAGATCGCGCCACTGCACTCCAGCCTGGGCTACAGAGTGAGACTCCGTCTCAAAAAAAAAAAAAAAAAAAAAAAAAAAGAAGAAGAAGTAGGCTGACCACACTGTGAAGTTTTGTTTCTTATTAATTTGTTTGTCTTAAAGCACTGCTGAGGTCATAAATCTGTTCTGAGTGAGGGTCATTCAGGGCTAGAACAGCCAGGGCAGTTCCAGCACAGGGCAGGTGGATGCTTGCAGGATTCTCTGTGGAGCTTCTCAAAAAAGGTTTTGGTCACTTTTAATTAGAGGCAAAAGTTGAGAGATGTAACTTAAATATATCTTTAGTTCAAGAAAGGATTGATATTTGCCCACCCTCCATTCTAACAGATAATGGTAGGAAAACTATTCGGAAAGGCTATTCTTGGGTTGTTTGGCTCATGTGCTGTGCCCAAGCATAGGATAGAAAGGAGTAAAACGAAATGCCATTATATATTATGTTATGTTATATTCAGACACTAAACAAAATATGTGCTGGTCTTAATCTTTTATTAGCAAACTACAACTATAGAGTGGAAGTGAACAGCAGAGAACACTCTACAGTAATTAGAAATAATCTATATCTTGATTGGAGGATATATATTTGTGAAAGGCCATTAACTTTCAAATTTATGAATAGAATAATTCATTGTATGTTTTACTCAATATTAAAAGAAGTAAAACATATGGTTTATATTAGTAGATATCAGTATATCAATATATGAAGTTACTCTGAATATTTTCTTCTTTTTGTATTCCTGATGCTCTGGCATCTGAGGCCTCACTGACTGGGAAGAAATTGTCTCTTCTAGGGCTAGTCAATTCTTCAATTCTTAGAGATAGCAAATGTTAGTCCAGGAACATGCCTTCATGTGCAAACTAACCAATCCAGAGCCTTTCCTCTGAAACACCTCCTCTTTCTGGCTCTTAACTTCCAGCAAGCAATATTCTTCTGTCCTAATCCTGTCAGGGTCAGGTACCAGACTGCTAGAGACAGTCCCTATACCTCAGAGCTAACTGAAATTATTCAAGCAAACCAACCCCGACTCTGTTTACCCTGTCTTGCCTTTCTCATGAAACCACAATAAATGCTCCCATCCATGCTTTTCCCTTGCTCCCTCTGCCTCCTGACTGACCCTGGTGCTTCTCTTTGTGGCATTATGTGACATGGAATATTCTCTTTTTTTTTTTTTTTTTGAGATGGAATTTTTGCTCTGTTGCCCAGGTTGGAGTGCAATGGTGCGATCTTAGCTCATAGCAGCCTCCACTTCCTTGGTTCAAGTGATTCTCCTGCCTCAGCCTCCCAAGTAGCTGGGATTACAGGTTCCCACCACCATGCCTGGCTAATTTTTGTATTTCTACTAGAGACAAGGCTTCACCATGTTGGCCAGGCTGGTAATGAAATCTTGACCTCAGGTAATCCACCCAGCTTTGCCTCTCAAAGTGCCAAGATTACATGTGTGAGCCACCACCCCCAGCCATAGTCTCTATTTTTTAGTGGCAACCTTCTCCTGATCTGTTGGCCGCACCATACCTGAGTTACAATAAAACATGCATTTCAAAACAATTGCAGTAGAGAAATATAATCTAGAACTTTTTTCAAGCAAGCAAAAGACCTCTGCTTGACAGAGAGGTAATAAGCTATCTAAAGAAATAGCTGGCTATTTGGCATGTATACAATCTTGCTGTAATTTTTTTTCTCACTCTTTAAACCCAGAGTTCTTGTCTTAATCTATTTGGGCTGCTATAACAATACTACAAACTGAACAGCTTATAAACAATGGATGTTTCTTACAGCTGTGGAGACTGGCAAGTTCAAGATGAAGGTGCCAGCAGATTTGGTGTCTGGTGAGAGTCTATTTCCCGATTCATAGATTGCGCATTCTAGCATCATTGTGTCTTCACAAGATGGAAGGACAAGGTAGCTCTATGGAGCCTTCATTATAAGAGCACTAATCCCATTTCTGATGGCTCTAATCTCATGACCTAATCATCATCTTTCCAAGGGCTCATGTCCTAATTTTTTTTTTTCTTTTTGAGACAAAGTCTCACTCCGTCACCCAGGCTGGAGTGCTGTGATATAATCTTGGCTCATTGCAACCTCTGCCTCCCAGGTTCAAGTGATTCTCGTGCTTCAGCCTCCCCAGTAGATGGAATTGCAGGCATGTGCCACCATGCCGGGCTAATTTTTGTATTTTGAGTAGTGATGGGTTTCGCCATATTGGCCAGGCTGGTCTTGAACTCCTGGCCTCAAGTGATCTGCCCACCTCGGCCTCCTGAAGTGCTGGGATTACAGGCATGAGCCATCATACCACGCTGATGATTGGGTTTCAATGTATAAATGTGGAGGGGACAGAAACATTCAGATAGTGAAAGACGTCTATGATGCACTCTTTGATGTTTAACTTATACACAGGTTTAAAACCAGCCTATAGGCCGGGCGCGGTGGCTCAGGCCTGTAATCCCAGCACTCTGGGAGGCCGAGGCAGGCGGATCACGAGGTCAGGAGATCGAGATCATCCTGGCTAACACAGTGAAACCCCGTCTCTACTAAAAATACAAAAAATTAGCCAGGCGTGGTGGCGGGTGCCTGCAGTCCCAGCTACTCTGGAGGCTGAGGCAAGAGAATGGCGGGAAACCAGGAGGTGGAGCTTGCAGTGAGCCGAGATGGCGCCATTGCACTCCAGCCTGGGCAAGAGAGCGAGACTCTGTCTCAAAAAAAGAAACAAACAAACAGCCTATAGCAGCTTTGGTTAAAAAGCTACTACTATTAGCCGGGAGTGGTGGCAGGCACCTGTAATCCCAGCTACTTGGGAGGCTGAGGCAGGCGAATTGCTTGAACCCAGGAGGCGGAGGTTGCGGTGAGCCAAGATTGCGCCACTGCCCCCCAGCTTGGGCAACAGAGCAAAACTTCATTAAAAAAAAAAAAAAAAAGCTACTACCTATTATGCTGTTTAAAGAGTCACAGTTTATAGTACACTTACAAGTTTACTATATGTTGCTTTGTGTCTCTGCTGATTAGCGCCTCTGATTTTAGTCAGCTTACATTATTAATTAGATGGTTATACTAAATTATAAGCTAAACCCCTTTTCTAGCACTACCTCCTCTTGGTTGGTACTGTTGAGGCCCAAAATAAACAATGTTGTTTAGTCTTGGCTGGCTCCTTTCATTCGTATAAGTAAGAAAAGAAAATGAGGGCATTGTTACACCAGACCAGAGTTATCAAAGGCGTCATACACAAACCCTGTTGTTTTTGGGGTCTGTGTGACAAATAATAAACTGCTAACTTTAATTGAGGAGCCAAATTTGAAACATACACAAAAACACACAGACGCATGCATATATATATGTGTATGGATTCAACTGTGGCTCCATTATAACTTCATTCTCACATAAATACCTTCTGAGGCGAGTGAGAAAGAAATTGATTTACTCCTACAGAAATGACAACTGTCCTTATACATATCACATGCCTGAGTGAGTCACCATTGCTTAACTCTACATTGTTATATGACTCATGAGTTTTCAAAAGGAATTATCTCTCTTCAAAATTTTTTTAATATGGTGGACAACATAGACGTATGCATTGCATCAAAATATTATTCACCATGTGCGTGGAAACAGAAAAAAAATATTGCTTAACATATGGCCTATATATGCCTGGCCCATATGGCTTGTATATGCCTGACAACCCCACCCAAAGTGCAATAGAGACTAATTGAAGCAGAAAGAGAGGTCCTATTGAAAGTTGTGTAGGTTGATCCCTTCCTTTAAGGGGGCAAAATCCCAGACCTCCCATAACAGAAAACTTATGAAGTCAATTCAAACATTTGGAAATCAGATTTTGGAAATTAGCTCAGAGCTATCCAATTTACTCACACATAAAAATACTCATTTGGCTTGAAAAAATGGGACAATATAGTATTTCAGAAAATAAGAATAATTTTGGTTGGTCATTGTATACAATGTAAAACATTTTGATTACCATGAAATCTTTCTGAGAAGCCCTAGTTCCATGTTACCACGATACCAGAAACTTATTTGTAACATAGGCGTACTCTTAAAGAGCACAGTCTTTGTTTTCTAACTTAGAAGCAATCACCTAAAAATATAATACGAAAAAGTGAAATGCACTTGACAATTATAACTGGAATCCTAATATCTACTCTACTTCTCCTCCAAGTATATATCCTAAACCCATTATCAAATTTCAATTAAAATGTTAACAAATTAAGTACTACAAAAAGAGATTGTGTGTATTAATAGTTTCTAGTTTAGCTTTCTGAAGGGTGCAGGTGGGGAATATGCTAATTTGGGTCTGTTTGCATATTTATACAAACAAAGTGAACACCAGCAGAGACTTACAGTTTCCAAAAGCAATCATGCCTGCAGAATTTCTATTTTGGCTGTAAAATTTGCATTGTCTATGCTTGGGTTTACTAATACTTCTCAGTCTCTTTTTATCCCAAACAAATTTACTCTTTCTCTGCCCCATATTACTTGATTAAGAAATGCAAACATTGAGTGGCAATAAATAACTTTATACCTCACAAACAGAAATTTTTAAAAATCTGAGCAGAAAGCAAAGGGGAAATTGCAGAGACAGATTACCTGCTGCTTAATTTCCATGATGCTTGTGGCCTGACCTGTTTAGTTCCAGCACACAGGATTAATTTATCTGAAGAATTTTTGTCAAGTAACTTTTCAGCTAGCCATAAATTTTGGAGCGATTCTATTTCTTAAGTCCATCCAAATAAGTAAATTGCATCAATACTTATTTTTGCCATTATGAATATTTCACATAATTGATCTCAGAATTTTGAGAACTGATTAACTGATTGATGTTTATACACGCCTTTACAATTTCAACACATTAGAAAAAATAGCCTTAAGCTGCTCAATTTTTGGATTTCATAAGTAAAGCTAAAAAGGAAATCATGCAGATACAAATACAGCAATACTTGTTTCTTTCAAGGATTTGGCTTTCAATCCAATGTATGTATTTAGGTTCCTGCACTTCTAATTGTTAACCTCAGTAGTTTACAGAAAATTGTCATTAGCCTATATAGAGCAAGTGTTCTCAAACACAGGTGTGAAGACTTCAGTTTTACAGGGAGATACTACATTTTACCTAATGTGTGGAAAGATTCTAAACATTATTTCCAAGCTTGTGAAGTAAACTTAAGCCTTTTCATGATGAGATTTTTTGTAAAAAACTAAATTACATGTAATGATTCTTAAGTTAGAATTGACACGAAAAATAGTTAAAAATGCAATGATGAGTTTATCATCATTATTAGTTAGTTGTAAAATCATTGTAAAACTGATTTCTGGGGATGCCGGCATGAGTCAATAAAGTAACTAAAAATTATTGAATTGTCCACTTGAAATGAATGGATTTCATGAGATGTGAATATATCCCAATACACTTAAAAAATTTTTTATTATACTTTAAGTTCTAGGATACATGTGTAGAACGTCCCCCTTTGTTGCATAGGTATACACGTGCTATGGTGGTTTGCTGAACCCATCAACCCATCATCTATATTAGGTATTTCTCCTAATACTATCCCTCCCCTAGTCCCCCACCCTGTGACAGGCCCCAGTGTGTGATGTTCCTCTCCCTGTGTCCAAGTGTTCTCATTGTTCAGCTCTCACTTATGAGTGAGACCATGCGGTGTTTGGTTTTCTGTTCTTGCCAATACACTTAGTTTTAAAAAAGAATAACCTGGAGTAAAAAGTAGTACATGTGGTTTACCAGAATTAAGGGGTAGTTAAACTAATTACATGTCTTTGAATGATTTTGAACATTTTTC
The DNA here is from genome assembly GCF_000001405.40 of Homo sapiens. Classification (NCBI taxonomy): domain Eukaryota; kingdom Metazoa; phylum Chordata; class Mammalia; order Primates; family Hominidae; genus Homo; species Homo sapiens. The sequence goes on along the minus strand of NC_000003.12, from coordinate 89,377,888 downwards.
TATGTGTTCCATATTTTTTTTCTAATTTTCAGAGCCATTTGTTGAAAAAAAGATCTGTATGAAACTATTATATAAGCATTATAAAGTGTTGCTGGCCTGGTCTGTCAGATTTCTTCTGGAATTGAAAAACAATAAGCCAAGAATCATTATTATTCACATCGCACAGTCTGTGGTTTAGCTTTAGAAACATGCTTTTCAAGTTAAATTTCCTTCAAAATGCACCTAGCTAGGAAAAAAAATGAGGGAAAAATGCTAGAGGCAAAGCAAACTTGAAGTTTACAAAGTCTGGTAGTCTATTTTCCAAATACGAGTGGGTTTCGTTACCCTTTACATTCTAGAGTGGTTCACAGTTGGTTTTCATACATGCATCTATGAATCTATGTTATACCTTACCTTCCTGGATGGCTAAAGTGTGGTATTTTTACTCTTTGTTAACCTTAGGAATAACTGTTAAATGGATTTTTGGCTTTAATGGGTTGGTTTAATCTCTAAAAGGAGATCCTGAAATAAGAGTTCAGTAAGACCAGATGTTGGTTCTAAACAATATGTAAAGTTTGCAAATGGGTACATATGAAATGAATCTTCCATAACATTTGTGTTCAATATAAAGCATCTGATGCACAGGCAATTACACATAATATAATGTTCGTATTCTCTTCATTCACTAAAAGAATGTATAGAGACAGGTTGGGAAGTGCTTTAGGTAATTCACCACTAGATTTTAGTAACACAATGGGACATGAAATCAGATAAGAAAAAACAATCTACATAAGCAGAATGAAAGTTTTGAACTAAAAAAGATCATATTCCTGTGACAAAACCCCTGGCAATTACATTTATAATGAGGGAAGCAACTCCAAAAACTACAGGCACAGAAGGAAAGTTGTGAGAAAAATTTTCCAACACGTTCCTTAAAAAGTCAGCAGGGTTTTATAGGAAACAATCAAGTGATTGTAGAAAGAAAACATGCAACCAAAGAATTTATTCAGTTAACATCTATAATTTAACAAAATAACATATGTTCAAAGCCACTTTTCGAAGACAAATTAAAAGGCCCTTATGAACTACAAATTGCTAACTACCAATGTTCATTTAAGGAAATGGCAAATAACGCTGATGACAAACTATCCCAAGAGTGGCTGCTGTGAAAACTGGCATCTCAAGGCTTAGTATCAACCTTTCTTTAGTCTTTGAAATCTTATCAACACATTTTAATCCAAATATAGGTGGAAGACATGCAGTATAGAGGAGACTTTGTTTATATTTTTAAATATGAATATAAAAATCACAAAAATATGGGCACAAATATTTGATGAAATTAAAACATAAATTATTTAAACCATATGAATCATCAGAAACCCTACACCAGTTAGAAAATCATTTATTCACAGTTGATATAGAAGGAAAGAAAACTGAGGAAAGCAAAATCTGATTGTACTAATTTTAAAGGTACAACTTGGAGGACATACTTATATGTACATACAATATCTAAAATATGTATACATATTATAAATATACACTTTTAGTTGTGTGTATATATATATATTTATATACACACATCCTACATAAAGCTCAATTACTAATCATTATATATTAGATTCATGTATTCTTTTATTTAATTCCCGAAGTAATCTAAAAAATTCTGGAATTGTTTGAAAATTGTTTCAAAGACAATTTTGCATTTAATTCAATAAAGCATCCTAATTAGTCTTATAGTGCTCCTTATTATGGTTCTAGGGTCTTTTTAAAATTAATAATGTATGGAATATCTCTTTATGTGTTCCTTTTTGCTTACCTTTGCTTATCAGTTTAGTAAAAATTATTAAAGTAAATATCATAAAATGATTTCATTCAAGAAGATTTTCTGTGCTTACTGTATGCCAGGTGCCATGTAAGGTGTGAAGGTTAAAGTAGTGTAAAAAGGCAGATGTGTCGCCTGCCTTTATGGAGATCTGAAACATTCTCATTGCTAGAGTTGGATTTCTTTACAAATTTCCCTCTGATAACCTATGTTCCCTCAAATGCATATGGAACCTATCATCATCTCAGTTAACCACTGAAGGATTTGAAGTACTACAGCTCTTCCAGGATACCTAATGGGCCTATTTTGTTTGTGTCTGTACAATATCCCTTTGGAATTTACTATATGGGCAACTTTCCAATTTCAAGATGTCAGCTACTTAATCTGTATGACTGAGGGCTTCTTTTGTTATCAGAGTCACTTCTATTCATGCACTTTAGGCTGGAAGTCTTGGGGATAAAAAATTATACTCTTCAATTACCTCTCATCTTTGGAACAGCTCTCAGTCAATGACTGATGAAGAGTTCATGTATAAATATCCCAGCTTCCTCTTATCTAGTGTGGGATAACTCTGAAGCAAGTATTCCAAACGGGCTCCCACTCTTCAGCAACAGGATTAAGCTCCAGTTTCCCACAGGGTAAAATGATTAATACTTATTCTTCAGTGGCTGCCTTCCTTTCCTTGTTTCATTTTTATGCTCCCCTGCCTGTGTTTTCAGGGATCATTCCCAAATAAACAACCTATATTCAAATTCTCATCTCAATGCCTACTTCTGGGAGAATTCAAACTAAGAGACCTTGCATCATTGTAAATACTTAGGAATATTGGTGACAGCCGAGACCATATAAAGCTTTATTTGGGTTTTCAAGACACTTTAACAGTTTAAGTCTATTTTAGTTAATGGCTCATTGTGTGTCACTGGGTAGTTTTGGCTTTGAGTGGGACAAAGTTTAGGAAAACTAAAAAAACACACAAACATACAAGCATATGAATACACAGAGCTAACACACACACATACACAAATATATCTCTACCCCAGCAACGTCGATGCCTCAAACTTATTCTTGAATTGTGAAATTGAGTTGTAAGCTGTGATACAGATAATATTGAAAATTATTTGATTAACAGGACCTACAGTTGCTATAGTGGAATGAAGGATAGTTTGTGGTGTTATATAGAGGTTTAGTGGCATTACTTTTTTTCAATGAAGTCTCTATTTTTCTGTCTACTCTAAGTTGGGTGGCTATTCTGAACCAAAAATTTAGTTTTTTATTCTGTTATGTGCTCGGAATGTGGCATTCTCAGGTTAGAAAATAAGAGCTACTTCATTACTTGGTCATTCCAAATGACCAAGAAATAGCTGAGATGTATCATGACAATTGGCCCTCAAACAAGCAGCAGACATCCTAATGCAGACCAGACCAATGGGATTTTTCTAAAAAGTGAAATACAGAGAACAGAGACCCTCTGATCTGTTGAACCTCAAGTTCTTGTTCTTTGATGAAATTGCTGTAATATCTCATAGCCTGCTCTTCACTTTTGGTTATTAATGCCCAGTGTATAACAGTATAAAACAGCAATTTCATGGGTGGAAGAGGAAAAAAGTCAGCTCATTTACATCTTCCTTCCCTTTTCCAATGTTGGAGGACTGTGGAGAGATGGTGGAAAATAGAGGTTATACTTAGCTGTGCACACATTTGCACTGTATTTGTTGACTTCCACTGTTTTCTTGACTAATACTGACTTTTACTATTGTGTGCTAGCTTTCTGTAGGCACTCATGACGTTTTCAGATGATTCTGCAAAAATCTACATGGCAAGGACCCATTTAATTCCTCTTAAAAATGCCTCAAGATGTGTCTGGCTCCAACTGTTTGCAGTTCTCTTTTGTATGTGGTATACTTGGTGTATTTTTGCCTGACTTTTTTATTCTAGTTGCCAATTCCCAAGCAACAAGAAAATATCTTACTGAACATTTTATATATGACTATATTTCTGAGTATGTGTGTGTGTGGAGAGTGTATAATTGTACATATTTGAAATTTTAGTTCGGAAACTCATTTTTAACAAATCCTTTTGTTGTCTTAATAAAAGCTGATATTTATTATATATAGTATTGAATAGCACCTATCTCATAGTAATCAGACCAAATGGACTCTATTTGACCCTTAGAGTTAAATTCTAGTACTTAGAATGAATAAAACCATGTAATGACATCGACCTTATCCTCTACATCTCAAAGCCTTATAAAATGCAATTTAGTTCTATGTTAATATAATATGTTGAACAAACCCACAAATAGAAGCCTGATCCAGGATGGAAAGTGAAGTGAAATACATCTCTGAATAGATCTTTCCTGTCAATTCTCATGGTGAGTGAGAATTAGAGTCTAGTAGGAGTCAGAGACAGAGGCAGATAAGTGAGTTCCCTCTGGGAGAGACTCATTCACAGCAGGGTGATGATATCCTGGTTTCCCACTGACTAGCAGACTTCACCAACAGAGACACCTGTCACATAGGAATGAGACCAGTGGGCTTACACAGAAATCTTTTCTGTTTCTGACTCTCTAAGTTCCCATTTGCTGCTAAAAGAATTTTCTGAAATAACATTGCCATTTCACAATTATTACACCAGGGTTTTGTTTTGTGAGGTAAGATGGATGTTGGAAAATGATGCAGAAATATATGCAAAGTTATCTATATAAAGCCTACATAAATAAGAAAAAATGTTCTACACATTTAAAAGGTTGTTATCTTGCCTAAGGATTCAGTTCAAAAAGTGGCTGGAGGAAATTTTAAATTAGCAATATAATTTCTTTAAAAGTAAAGATTAAATGGGATGACAAAAAACAACAAGAAAAAAAGATTATCTTACAGGTTAAGATTTACATAATTATTTACTTTTGTAAGTCTTTGCCCTTGCAAAGACTTGAAATTAATTTTAAAATGTTGATTTCAGCAATAAGTACAATACTCTATGGCGTGAAAACTATTTTGTGCCAGAGACTTTTAATTAAATTAGTAAGTAAAAATAATAAGAATGGAAACTACTTTTATGGAGTGAAAGACTAGAAAAGAAAACTGATAAAATATTTGGAAGGGTCACATATTTTCTTAATCAAGATATATGTATTTGATCAAACTACTTTTTTCATGCAGCAGTTCTATGTAGACATATCCTTGGTTCTTTTGTGGTTTTAGCTGATTTTCTGAATACTTTTATTTAAAATATATTACTAGTGCAAGGTAAGATAACATACCTTCCTTTGAGAGTCAGATGTTAAGTTATTCTATTTGTTTTATTTATGTTTTAAGGTAACTGTCTCATTCATCAAGAATAATGTTAACCACAGTCTGTAGGAGACAGAGACTAAGCTGTTCAAATGAATGACTATAAAGTGAATAGCTTGTGCCAAAGGATGATTCATTTGATTTAAAACACATTTGTCGAACAAATTTTGGAACTGTGCTCACTTGTTAATTTTCTCTTTTGTGATTTCCTTTCTCTTTCATAGGTTGGCAATCAAAACCAACATCCAGACAGTGCCAAGTCTGATGAAGTGGTTAAGAGCATTCCTAGAAGTGGCACATATGCCAATTGCAAATTGCAAAGTTTTTTTTTTTCAATTAGAAGGAATAAAAAGTCTGTGCTATATATGAATAAAAGCTGCTGTGTTTTTAAAAATATCTTGGAATATAAAGGCTTGAACCTAAGTATGAGGGTGAGGGGGTTGCTGCTAGAAGTAACCAATAGTCTCCATCACACTATAAAGTCTTTAAGCCTTAAATTTGTATATGAAGCCTCTTCAATACTAGGTCATGACTAGTGAAGCTATGAGTTGTCCTAGGATGTCCTGTCTTGAGATACCCTACCTTCTTGTCAGTACATCCCACTGAGGCTGACTGGTTCCAAAACCTTCAGATGGATCAATCCATAGATTCCAAGATGGGCAAATGTCAATGCCAATTTTATCGGAATGTTTCAGACCAGATTGATGATCAGTTATGCAGAAACTTAAACTTGTGGTGACATTTTTTTTCTTTCCTCCCTCTCTCTGCTAAAATGGTTTTATTTTTTTTTTTAATTGAAGAAAGCTTTTAGATAACTCCCTAGGCTGGAAGTTAATCATAGAGAATTGCCCTACAGAAACAACTGGTTTGAGAGTAAAGCCCACTCCAGACTTATTCTAGTAACTCTTCAAATGTTGAGTCATTTAGAAACTGTTTCTCTTCAATATAGGCAAGCAGTGTTGACTAGGATATGAAAGATTTCCATATAATAAATTATCCAGTCTTAAAACTTTGCTACTTGTCAATCTCAGTCATACACATATGTGTGTGTGTGTTGTGTGTGTGTGTGTGTGTGTATGTGTATCACTGTGCCTTGTACAATAAACCAAGTAGAGGAAGACAAACTAGCAAAACTCTTCCCATTAACAGACTTCCCTTAAACAATCTAAATGTGCCACACGGTACAGTTGTGTATTACTGAACTGGAGGTGGCCCTGGCTGACAGTCAGTACTTTGAGAGAGAAACTCTACAAATCTCCTTATAAGGAATACAAATAAACCAGCCCACACATTATCTTGTCCTATCATTTCTTATCTTATCTTTTATCTATCTTACCTTGTATCATCTCTTCTTCAGTTTACCTGATAGAAGTGGACCCAGAATGAAAAGATTCCTGCACAATAGGTACCAAAATGTCGACGATAGTTAAGGGCATGTTCATTAAATGAGTAAAGAGAGTAATCTTCCAGGGAAACTTAAAGATATGAGAACAGATAAAAGATGTTTTTGTTTAAATGTGCTCAAGTAGAATTTTATGGTAACTGTAGTCATTGGTACAAATTATAATGTCTCAAAATCATCAGCCAAAAACAAGTTTAAATAAAAATAATCACTGGAATGAAAACAAACAAACAAATATATGAATAACTAATATAAAGAATTTTTTAAACACAAATCTATAATGACTATACAAAGCTGATTTCCCAGAGAACCTGACTACCTTGAAATATTTATTTTCATACCATTTAAGAGCAGATATAATAAAATTTCCATATTCACTTTAAAAATTCCTTGGTAGTTCTTTTATTTTCTTACTTTATATCCATTACCAAAATGTAGATGTTTTGTCTAGGTGCACAGAAAAGATGAAAAACTGCAGTACCAGTTTGAGGGGCTACTGTACTGTTTTATTTCAAGTCTTAGCAACTTCTTAACACTTTGCCCAATTCACTTCACAACCTGTTTCAGGTAATTTGACTTTTTAGTTTCTCCTATACTTTCTTCCTGTTTTTCTCAATGTTGAGAGAAAGAGACTTCCTTATTCATTTCTACTTTGTTGTTTGCATTCCTTCTTTTTTTATTTTATTTTATTTTTTTGTCTATATACAACTAATGTATTTTGTTATTTTTTTAATTATTATTATACTTTAAGTTTTAGGGTACATGTGTACAATGTGCAGGTTAGTTACATATGTATACATGTGCCATGCTGGTGTGCTGCACCAATCAACTCGTCATTTAGCATTAAGTATATCTCCTAATGCTATCCCTCCCCCCTCCTCCCACCCCACAACAGTCCCCAGAGTATGATGTTCCCCTTCCTGTGTCCATGTGTTCTCATTGTTCAATTCCCACCTATGAGTGAGAACATGCGGTGTTTGGTTTTTTGTCCTTGCGATAGTTTACTGAGAATGATGATTTCCAATTTCATCCATGTCCCTAAAAAGGACATGAACTCATCATTTTTTATGGCTGCATAGTATTCCATGGTGTATATGTGCCACATTTTCTTAATCCAGTCTATCATTGTTGGACATTTGGGTTGATTCCAAGTCTTTGCTATGGTGAATATTGTTGCAATAAACATAGGTGTGCATGTGTCTTTATAGCAGCATGACTTATAGTCCTTTGGGTATATACCCAGTAATGGAATGGCTGGGTCAAATGGTATTTCTAGTTCTAGATCCCTGAGGAATCGCCACACTGACTTCCACAATGGTTGAACTAGTTTACAGTCCCACCAACATTGTAAAAGTGTTCCTATTTCTCCACATCCTCTCCAGCACCTGCTGTTTCCTGACTTTTTAATGATTGCCATTCTAATTGGTGTGAGATGGTATCTGATTGTGGTTTTGATTTGCATTTCTCTGATGGCCAGTGATGGTGAGCATTTTTTCATGTGTTTTTTGGCTGCATAAATGTCTTCTTTTGAGAAGTGTCTGTTCATGTCCTTTTCCCACTTTTTGATGGGGTTGTTTGTTTTTTTCTTGTAAATTTGTTTGAGTTCATTGTAGATTCTGGATATTAGCCCTTTGTCAGATGAGTAGGTTGCGAAAATTTTCTCCCATTTTGTAGGTTGCCTGTTCACTCTGATGGTAGTTTCTTTTGCTGTGCAGAAGCTCTTTAGTTTAATTAGATCCCATTTGTCAATTTTGGCTTTTGTTGCCATTGCTTTTGGTGATTTAGACATGAAGTCCTTGCCCATGCCTATGTCCTGAATGGTAATGCCTAGGTTTTCTTCTAGGGTTTTTATGGTTTTAGGTCTAACATTTAAGTCTTTAATCCATCTTGAATTAATTTTTGTATAAATTAGTTGTGTAAGGAAGGGATCCAGTTTCAGCTTTCTACATATGGCTAGCCAGTTTTCCCAGCACCATTTATTAAATAGGGAATCCTTTCCCCATTGCTTGTTTTTCTCAGGTTTGTCAAAGATCAGATAGTTGTAGATACGTGGCATTATTTCTGAGGGCTCTGTTCTGTTCCATTGATCTATATCTCTGTTTTGGTACCAGTACCATGCTGTTTTGGTTACTATAGCCTTGTAGTATATTTTGAAGTCAGGTAGCCTGATGGCTCCAGCTTTGTTCTTTTGGCTTAGGATTGACTTGGTGATGCGGGCTCTTTTTTTGTTGTTTCCATTCCTTCTTACCATTCCTTGAGTTCTCAAGAAACCCAGTCTCTCTTGTCATTGAGTTGCTAATTCATATTCTTCTTCCCTTCCATGACACGCTTCAATAGCAGAGAAAACGATGACTAAGAATGTGGGCACAGCTGTCAGATTACTTGAGTTCAAATTGTGAGTCAGCAACACCAGTGTGAACTAGGCATCTTACTTCACATCCTTGCCTCAGTTTTCCACATTGAAAAACTGGAAAATTAATGGTTGCTAACTATGAAGGTTAATTTTATGTGTCAATTTGACTGGGCTAAGGGATGCTCATACTGCTGGTGAAGCGTTTTTTGTTTTTTGTTTTTTGTTTTTTCTGGGTGAATCTATGGGGGTGTTTCTAGAAGATACGGGCATTTTAATAGATGGATTGAGTAAAGAAGATCTACCCTCACTAAGGTGGGTGGGCATCATCCAACCCATTGAAGGCCTAAATAGAACAAGGCAGAGGGCAGTGAACTTGCTCTCTCTTCATGAGCTGGGAAATCTATCTTTTCCTGACCTCAGATATTGAAGATCCAGCTTCTTGGGTCTGCTAATTCTAAGAATTACAATATCAGACCCTCCAGTTTTCAGGCCTTGGACTTCATACTGGAAGTTATACTATTGACTCCCCTGGTTCATAAGCCTTTGGCCTCAGACTGAATTGTATCAGTCTTTTCTATTTCTCTAGCTCCCAGGCAACAGATTGTGGAACTTTCTGGCCTCCATAATTATGCAAACAAATTCCCATCATAAATCTCCTCTTACATATCTCTACATAACCCACTGGTTCTGTTTTTCTGGAGTGCCCTAACTAATATACTACCTTATAGTTCTGCTTTGTCTTTTTTTAATTAATGAAGATTGCTTTAAATAATGTACTCTAACACTTATGATCTAAATTCTGCCCCCAAATTTCACTCAGTTTTCTCTTAAAATAATAATTTTTTTAAAAAACCCCATACCTCCACAACTACCAACAGCACACACTTTAGTATTCTGATCTAATTATATGAAACCACTAGGACTGAAATCTTCTGCTCAGCTCTTCTTCTTCTTACAGCTCTCTCACTTAAAATGTATATAAAAATGCCTATTGGATAAGGCCCAAGTTAGCCACTATGAAGGAGACAAATGTGAGCCATGCCTTGGTCACGCCCTCAAGGAACCTAGAGTGCAGTAAGAAAGATTAAATGCATATGAAGTAGCATTCTAATACAAATTAGAACAGAGGAGCACCATAAGAGAAATACAGATAAACGATTCTGTAGCCCTATGGGAGTTGTGATAAAAGGACAACTATTTCCAGCTGAGAAGAATTAGAGAAAAATTAACAAAGTGCTGGCACTTAGTCTGAGTCTTGCAGAATTAAAAAATTTTAAACACATGCATATAGAATAATTGTATTTTAGGTGAAGGTTACCAAATTTTCAAAATATCCTGGAGAATAGGAAGGAGATATATCTATCTTTGTAACAAGGAGTAAAGGAAATTATGATTGGAAATTTGTGTGATGCCACATAAGAGGAATCTTAATTTCGAGGCTAAGAAGTTTTTTTTTGTTTTTGTTTTTTTCTCCTCTGTAATGGAAGCCACTATTTAAAGGAGCTAAGTTATGTGATTGAAACTATATGCTAATGTGATTAATCTGACAATGATTTTATCAAGAGTTCAGCAAACATGGATAAAGCTAGGTCCCTGCCTTTGAGGAGTCACTTCACCTATAAGAGCAGTGACAGAGCTAGAAACTGATTCCTATGTGGGTACACGGGAGGCCAGCTCACTCTAGTGAAGAAATGGGAAACATCCTGCAGGAAGTGACTCAAGAACTGACTTTTGAGAGATGAGAAATGAACAGGTAAAGAAGGGAAATAGTTGAAATTTCCATACGTGTATATAAATAGATTTTAAAAGGCATGAACCTGTAGCGAGTTTATGCAAGTTTACAAGAAAATGTATTCATGGAGCATAAAGTGGAAAGGTATTAATTGGCAGGTAGTCTTTAAACAGTTCATGGAGAGCTTTGTAAGTCACAGTAAAGCACTTGGATTAAGGTACTTTGTAAAACAGATGAGGTGGAAACGCAACTGCAGACTAGTGGCTACTGTAATAATCAAGATGAGGGTTGATGAGAACCTGAAGTTAGTAATATCAAGTGAAGATAGGAAGAATGTTATAGAAATAGAAGAGAGTTTGTGCTGGTGGAATCTATGGGACATGCTAACTGGCTACATCTTCATTTGATAGAATTTTTAAAAATATCCAATACATTTTAGTTGCTGAGGAAACACATCTAATGAACAAAATGAACAAAATACATACTAATGAACAAAGTGAACAACAATTCCCCACCCTCATTAGGCTTATATTCCTTGAGGAGGACTAAGTGAGAGGGCAAAAACAGAGTAAGATTTCATAAATGACTTTGTAGATAACTGTTTCCCAGTTAAAGTCTGGGCTTTGATTCCAAAGCTGACTCCGTCTATACTCAGCAGGTATCCATTGCTGTTCTCAAGATCTTTTCCTTGATGCTATTTTAAAATTAAATTCCATGCTCTATTATCTACACTTTTTCTCTTCAACTTTCATGGCTTTCAAATATACAAATTATATTTAAGATCTTTCTCAAGAATCAGATCTTAGTGGTCAATTGCTTACTTTGTACAACCACCCGCATAGAATACCTGTTTTTTGCCTTAATTTCATCAATTCTAAAATGCTGTATATTATCTTATTATGCGTTCATGTTTTTGATCTTGATCAATGGTATTATCATCCTTTCTTCCACATGTGTTTAAATTATTCTCATGTTTGAGTGAGCTACAACTCCCCCCTTGCTCCTTTATTCAATTCTGGTCAATTTATCCTCTATTCCCCTCTGCCTGTTGGTATTGTTGATGCTGAGTTGGTTCTGGAACCAAAAGGAACTCAATATGTGTAAATATTCCCTTAAACTGATGAATGTATTGGTTCTGTTTTTTTCCCAAATGCATGACACAGAACTGGTCATGGTTTTAATTATTCTGGTTTTAATCTCTGAAAGGTCATCTCCCTCATTTCCCCAGGTTTATTTCAGACCTTTATAATCTCTCATTTGGGCTATCATTAGTGTGTCAACTGGTTTGTTTTCCTTGCATCTTCATTTATTTTTCTAAGTCATAGGCCTGATTGTGTCACTTTTCTACACAAAAATCAAGAAGCATTTCTGCTAAACCATCCCATCCCAAACCATCTATATCATACACAAGCACCGCTACCTATAAAATGAAGAAAAAATACCCATGCATTTCTGCCCAGGTGAAGAAATTGCATGGCAGGCTCTGCAGGGAAATGGGCTTTCTGTTTCAAGGGAAAGTGGAGGCAGAGACCCTATTCAAGGACATGAGGACAGTCATACCGCTTTGTCCTCTATTCCTCTCTACTTGTTGGTATTGTTGATGCTAAGTAGGTTCAGGAACCAAAAGGAAGTCAATGTGTGTGAATAGTCCCTTAAATTGATGAACACAATTTCTTGGTGTTATTTTTTCTGGAATTCTTGACACAGAACTGAGTACTAACAAGCAATGGTGCAGCAACATTAGTCTATGTTTCCAAGTCTGGCAGGGCCCTTGCTGCACAGACAGTCAAGTGTTGCCCTGTGGAAAATCAAACCAAGGTGAAAAGCTATGTTGTATCTGCTCTTATGCCTGTAGCCCCTTTATTTGCATTATGTTTTGTATCTATGACTAAATATGTTTGGAAATGTAAGTGTGTGTCCACTCCAGCGGACTAACAAAATCCCCCCAAAAGATTGTAGACCTTAAGCCACCATTCCATCCACCATTGCCCTTTCAGTCTTCCCCTCTACTCTGCCTCAGCTGAAAGGCTATATCTGAGGGGACAATTATCTTCCCAACCTCTTTATTCCTTTTTCCAGTCTTCAACATGCTGGCTCCTGTTAAACCCTTCTTTACCTTTTATTGTCCACCTCAAACCCCACCTCTTCAAGAAAACCTTTCTCTATTCTCAGACAGAGAATAATCATTCTTTTTCTTTATTATGGTGTGTTTTCTTTGCACAAACTATATTTAGTTAAATAAATGTTGAGGTAATTATAAATTCATCGAGGGTAGAAAGTAGGTATCAATTATCATTATCTCTCACCACAACATACAGCACAGTGTTGGTCACATAACAGTATGCAACAAATATTGTTGGAATTAAGTTGAATAATTAAATTTCATTGTTAGGAAGTAAAGTCACTTTATAAAACAAATATTAAGGAAATCTTTGAAAAGTAGCAAGGAGTGATGAAAATGCAGAAGAAAAGATAACTCAGTATTAGTTAATGAACAGTTTTAAGTACAATCTCTGTATTACACTGATTGGCCATCTCAGCATTACTCTTCAGCAGGTTTAACATAATTCTTTAGAATTAAAGACATTTAGAGGATATTGAGAAGATAATGACAATATCTTAAATTTGCATAAAATCTAGAAAAACAAGTGTTGCCTTTTTGAGGCCAAGATAATATTAGTATAAATATATCTGGTTTTTTAACAAGGGTTTATCCAACTTCTCTTTCTGCAAGTTCAATTTGCATGGCCTCAGGCCAGGCAGTTCATGGAAGCACAAACTGTAATGTGAAGGAGCTATAAATTTTCTGCCTGTCTGCAGCCTTGCAACTGGGAAAGAGTTTTTCTTCCTAAGAACTTCCCAAGTGCTTGTTGACCAGATTCATCTGTAGAGTGATTTAAAAATGCATGTGCTACTAGGGATCCCTATGCTTATTTTCAGAGACTCTGCATCTGTAGGATTGGCTTGGAGTAGGTAAATACTGGTGTTCTGAAAGGCCTCTGAATGATATTTTAAGCAATTCTGGTTTCAAAAATCACTGAGCTGAGAGTTTTCATCAATAGCAGTACCCAAAGATGATTAACAAGCCCTCAAGTGGTGCTAATAGCAGCCACAGCACTGTCCTGAAAATAGGGATGACTCTCAAAGGTCGGTAAAGGGAAACAGTGTAGTGAAGACTGTCTTATTAGGCCTGACACTATTCCTGAAATTCTATGCACAGAAGGCACATAAGAAGGTGATCTCCAAAAGGGTAATGTTGACATGAAAATATTTACCAATAAAAAAAACCTATAGTGTGCCTTTTCCACAAAGCAGTTTGTCAGTTTACATTGCTATTGATAAGTGGTCATCCAAGTGAGATTTTCAAACTGAATATATTTGAGATAGGAATAGGGGAGGGGACACTTTCTGATGCACTGGGCATTGTCTTCCAAGAAAAACCTAAAAAAAGACTCTCAAGGAAGAATGAAGATCCATTAAAAGAGAATTCCAATATGGTCAGTGGGTGAAATTAAAAGATTAGTATTTTCTTTATATCAATTTATCTTGACATTTCTTTTAAAAATATAGTCTAGAAATTAACTCAAAAGAGAAACAGCAATCATGTGCATGCACACACACACACACACGCACACACACCACTGACTATGATGGTTAAATTTATATGTCAACTTAGCTATGCCATGGTACTCAGATATTTGGTCAAACACCAGTCTGGGGTCACTGTGAAGGTGTTTTTCAGATGATATTAACATTTAAATCGGCACACTTTTGAGTAAAGCAGATTGTACTCCAATAATGTGTGTGGGCCTCATTCAGTCCGTTGAAGGCCTTAAGAGAAAAAATAGAGAACCCTTAAGACCAAGGGAATCCTAGCTTCAGAGTGCATTCAGACTCAAGCTGCAATGTCAGCTGTTCCCTAGGTTTCCAGCCTATCAGCTTACCCTGCAGTCTGTGGATTTGGCAGCCTCCACAATCACATGAGCCTATTCCTTAAACTCTCTCTCTCTCACTCTCTCTCTGTCTCCTGCCCCCTCGCTATCTCTCTCTCAATAGACAGATAAATACACACAGTCTATTGGTGTATTCTTTCCCTGCCCCCTCTCTATCTCTCTCTCAATGGATAGATAGATACACACAGTCTATTGGTTCTGCTTCTCTGGAGAAACTTCATTAATATGTGGACTAATATAATTGAAAAATGACTTTGCAAATCTATGCATGAAACCAAAACCTATGTTTAAAAAGAGAGTAGATAGATACCTAGCTTTATATAAGATGAAATGATAAGAGTAATTTTCTTTGGTGCCACAGTCAATCATCTTACAAATCTTATCACAGTTTGGGTTTGCATAAATCTTCTTTAGTAAAACTCTAGGAGGAAAGAGGAGATTGAAACATACACCAGACTATAATCTTAGTTTGAGTTAGTAAATATAACCTTGGTCAATGAGAATATTTTCTTTTAACTGGGAAGAAGTAAAACTTCATTTATTGGAGATATCTTTGGTTCTCATTGTGCTGTGAATTTTTTGTGCAGGACAAGAACTGACCACTGGAGCCTTTCCTGCCACTCATCCCATGTTGTACACATCCTGCCATCTGACAATCTGGTGCTTTTCACAAACACCCAATCACACATGTTAAACTCCTTCTCCCTTGCCCCATCTCCCAACGTCCACCCAGTACACTCCTTATACAATGCTCAAGGAACATCTTTCCATATTACTTTCTGCATTGCTCATTACAGGAGTCATATGAAGCTTTCTTGTTGCAGCCTTTGTGACTAAAAAAAGTGTAGGCTGTGTGCAGGTGACTGCATTTAAGACGAAGGGCTCTATAAAGAAATACAGAAAGTAAAAGCAGCTGCCTGGCGCCAACTGCAATAGAAAGACAGCTGCTTTCTTTACATGGAGGTGGAATAAAGCTCACTTCTAGGCAGCAGTTGTTACTGCAGCAGTCACTATCTAGGCTAATCTCCCACCATTTCAACAATTATTTGAAGGACAAAAGGAAAATGACTGAGTTCCTGCCTGAATCACAAGAAATGACTTTCCTTCTTTTTCATGGTTCATTCCTCAAGATAGCAGATATGTTCAACCCAAAAAGAAATGAAGATCTTCTGGATTAATAGCAGCTACTTGCGCTTGAAGAAGATGAGATGGACCATCACACTTATTTAAAACGAAACAATTCTGAAACATTATTTCAGAAGTGAGGTCATCTCACATAACATTTCTTAAGGTGTCATACTACTCTACTTTAGAAGTATGAGTCTTTATTACCTTCAAATTATAATCAGGACCTTGAGGGGGTTGTGAAAATATTTTCACTTAAAGTAATTTTTAGACATAGTGTGCATTTTGCAAACAAAATACATATAAAAATATTGCTTTTCCCACAGCACAAGTGTAGCAATTCTATGTTAGACTCAGATACCTCTTATTAGGGAGAAGTAACAAAGAGGGAATTATTAAACCATGATCAAAAGCCAGCTCTCATGTGGTCCCCACACTGTTGGTTTTGTGAAACTCAAGTTATTATCACCTCTCCAGGCTAAGGGGATAGCAGAGAATGGGCATAGAGGAGAGTGAGGCAGGTCTGTTGAGGTGAGCGCTCAGAAAATGTTCGTCTTAGCTCCAGGAAACTTTAAAGGGTAAATTTCATTAAGTAAAAGCAACCTTTCAGTATTCCCTAGACTAAACTGTGAAACATTTGTGAAAAGCATAAAATCCTTATTTATGGTAGGAATGTTTGAAATTCAAAAGATAAATGCCATTCAGAATGCAAGTATGTTCTAGGTATCTAATATGTAATGGGACACAGCTGTACTAACAGTCATTGAACCAGGGGCCTCTCTATATCATGTCATTAGTTGGCTTGTTATAAGCTGATTTTCTAGCCCTTTTTATAAGGGCCACTGGGGTAAAAAATAAATATATCATGTACTGAACATCTGTGGTTCTGTCACAAAGCACCACTCATATCAACTTTCAAGCTATATCTTAGGCTACACATGACACCCTTTAAAAAGGGATCTTAACAAAAAGTATAGATTAGGAATTCATAGGTCTTTATTTCCAAAGAAAGGCAAAGGATACAAGAAGGCCTTCTCTGTACCTTGGGCAACACTAATGGCATCTTTTTTCCAATTGTTTTAGTGTAGTCTTTTGAGTTGAAAAACCATATGTGCACTCTAGGTAAAATTCTGAAAATGAATATTTTATATGCAAGATGTTAACTGAAGAAAGACTTGCCAAGTGCCCAAACCATTGACTCAGTAAGTTGCCATAATTGTGAGTTAGCATTTAAGGGCACATGTTCACTAGCAATTCCTGCCTAAGCCATTTTTTAAACAAACCTATCTGTTCATATGAGAAGTGAGTGTTAAATTTTGTCATTGGTCAATTAAAAAGTAATGCCAGTCACCTTGGAAATAATACATGAGAAGTGAATTAAATATTTGAAATTACACAGGAAATTTGATTAGTTATGACATAATTTAAAAAACTGCAAACATTGCTAATTTATGCAATAAAATAAATAATAATAAACATGAGTATAGTTATAAGAGGCTTGTTTTTCATGTTCCCCTCCCTGTGTCCATGTGTTCTCAAGGCAAGGGTGAAAAAAGAAATGCAGTTGGGAGCATTTTCGATAATCTGGGGAAGATGATGCTACTAGGGTGGTAGCAATGGATCTTGTAAGAAGTGGTGAGATTCTTGTGATATGTTGAAGGCATGTTGTATAGACTATGCTGATGTAGATATACAGTTTGAGAGAAAGAGAAGCGCCAAATGACTCCAACAGCTTTGACTGAAATAACTAAAAGCATAGAGTTGCAGTTAGCTGAAATGGGATGGCCTGTGGTTTAGTGATCCTTATAAGCAATTGCCAGTGAGGTAGTGTTGATAGGAATCAGCAGATTACTCATAGTGCTCCAAGTTTACTCATGGTGTTTGGTGAAAGAATTTTAGGTGTTATGTGGACAAGCAATTATTATCTAATTAGTCATAAATTTTTGGCAAGTAACATTAGTTTTCTATTTATAGGAGCAAACTGTTTTCACATTTCAGAGCAAAACAAAACCAAAAAAAAGAGAGGCTTGATTTAAGCACATTATGTTGTAGGAGTCCTGGTGGCATATGGATGAAGCAAAATTCCTAAAAGCAGTAAGTTGTTTACTGAAATTTGGAAATTATTGGTGCACTGGAAAGATCTAGGTTCAAATTCTCCCTAGCAACTTGAGTTAGATAAATAGGACTGGCAAACTCTTGATAAGTTTCTTCTAAAAATAAGGGTAATAATGTCTCCATTACAGGGTTGATTTAAGGCTTAAATGATATCTCGAAAATGCCCAGTACAGTACAGTACAGTATTGGTTGTTAGTTTAAATAATAAATATTCTGATTTTGAATGTGGGCAACAATTCCCTCAGGCCACTGCAACAATCCAAAGATATGCATATATATATATGTATATATATATGTATATATATGTATATATATGTGTATATATGTATATATATGTATATATATGTGTGTATATATGTGTATATATGTGTATATATGTGTATATATGTATGTATATATATATACACACACACAATATATAACGTATATACACACACACACACAATATATAATGTTTGCCAGTTCATCTAAAGAAGAAATGGCTACTGATAGTAGAGGAATATATATTATCTGAAAATGTATCACAATTTAAAAAACATCATACAGTGCTAAAAAATACAGCAAATAGTGTGTAAATACCAGTATTACATGTGAAATGTACATAAATTATAAAATCTCCTTAAGTACTACCCAACAAGACAGCTAAATTCTTACTTCTCAACAAAGTGTGCATGTAGATTAACATAGATAAAATAGTGGATTTTTCCTTTATATCTTTTTTGAAACTCATTTTAATCGTTTTTACTTTTCATACAGAGAAAGCAATATCTTTTAACTTTCACAAATAGGCAAGGTTTGTAAACATGTATGTCTTAACAAATATTAGCAAACTAGTAAAACCTGACTTACTATTATGTTAGTGTCAAATTCTGGCCAGGTATCTTCAAAACAATTATAATTCATAATTAAAATGATTATTCTAAACATTTCTAAACTTTAGACATTGTCTTTATCTGAAATAAGGAGTCACTTTCATACTAATTACTGTTGATTATATTTTAATGCATTCTAGTTTTATATACTTTATGTGGTAACTGTCTATTTAACTAGAATATTTAATTCCAAACTAATAACAATAAGCTTAATCAAATAGGTAAGTAAATGGACAGATAGACAAATAAGTCAGATTAATGTGGTGAGTTTTACTGCACAACTTTAAACATTTGCTCTTGTCCCATTGTTATAAGTTCACATATTCTATGTGCTTTCATAAACCAGATACATGCATTTGAGAGATCATTAAAATACACATGCAATTATCATCGAATTTGTACATAACTTAAAGCATTTCATTTACTTTCCTTCTCTTTAGTGAAAAACTTTGGGACAGCATGCGAGTTTTTTAGCATCATGTGTAATCAGTAGGTTTTTCTTTTTTTCCTCTGCTTTAGTAATGAAAAAAAGATAAAACTATTATACTTAATGTCATATAATCTGTGAATTCAAGACCAATCTCTTTCACTGGGGGGCTTCATTGAGCTGTTGATGCTTTTTGAATTCTCTTGGCAGCTGGCTTTGCCTGTCTTTTCTTGGCCAAACCAATCAACTTCATGCTGTATTCATGAAACCTTTAAGATGTCCTAAATTGAGAGCTCCTTGAAAGTAGTGACTACATCTTAATCATCATTTTATCCCAGTAGATCCAGTATAGTAACTGGCTCATACTAAGGGCTTAGTCAATGCTTTGGGAACAGAAAAAGGCAAGTAATTGAGTGTGTTATTTATTGCCAAAGAAAACCTGGAGTTATCTAAATGGGTTTTTTTTTAGACCACATTTACTGCTAAATGTTCCAAATGTTTATGAAAGATATTAACTACCAAGTATTGATCACTTAATAAGCAGCCAGCACCACACAAGGTATTATATATGCTTTTTTCTTGACTTCACAATATCTCAATGTAGCCATAACCCTTATTTAACAGATGAGATGGTTAAGAAAAAGACTATCCTGTTCAAATATTTTAGTAAAAAAAAGTCTCTCTTCTTTCATATCTGTTAGACTCCATATACTTTCTATAACTTTATTATTTCTAGATCTTTACATTCCTAATTTATACATGTACATATATACACACGCACATGAATATACAAATATAAACACATACACATATGAATAGTTGTA
Source organism: Homo sapiens (assembly GCF_000001405.40). NCBI lineage: Eukaryota > Metazoa > Chordata > Mammalia > Primates > Hominidae > Homo > Homo sapiens. Next base: position 89,357,994 of record NC_000003.12, on the reverse strand, counting down.
AAACCTAGTTCTTCTTCTAGCCATTTTATATTAGGATTTTAATAAGGACATCTATCTTATATCTGCAATAATAAGAATTTGTAAAAGCAGCTTAGAATGGAAACATACCTCAGGGAAGATGGATGGGATTTTTTTCAAACTTTTCAGATATAAAAATGTCAAATTAAACTGAAGTTTTTTACTATATCAATTCAAACCAAGAGAAAAGCATGCTATGTTCTTAGCCTAGTTGTTTTATTTTAACTGGGAGTTAATGGAACAGTAGGCAATGTATCCCAGATATCAACTATGAAAAACCTTTTGAAATCATTTCAATAGAAGAGAAATAAAACAAGCTTTACTACTTGAAACAGAAATAGAGAATGTTATTCTTTGATATGTTGAAAATCTGTATAAATATCCATAACATGTACTTCATTTTAGAGGATATATACCCAATTGCCCTCCTTAGGTGGACAAAGATAGACGAACTTTGCCCACAAAGTATATTCAAATAGCGTGATAAGCTAAACAAATAAAAGTAAAGATGCAAAAATTTTCTTTCTTTAAAATATCTATGGTATGCACAATTAATTTTGGGGTCATCTGACATTCTCATCTTGGAATTACAGTGAATCTATTAAAATAAACTTGTAGAAAAAGTCAACCACTAACAGTCTAGTGATTAAAAATTAAAAAGTGAGCATTTCCTAAGTAGTTGTAAAATCTTTGTCTCCTGTCACAACCTGGGCCTTGGTAAAGTGTATTCTTCTAACTCTTTATCCAGAATGATTATTAGAACATTTGTTGCCACCTGGTTTCTTCCCGTATCACCGTCTCTTTTCTTTACTCTTTGCCGATATCTTTGCTTGATTGTGCTTTTTTTTTTTTTTTTTTTTTTTTTTTTTTGAGACAGGGTCTCACTCTTTCACCAGGCTGGAGTGCAGTGGTGCAGTCTCGGCTCACTGCAACCTACACCTCCCAGGTTCAAAGTATTCTCCTGCCTCAGCCTTCCGAGTAGCTGGGATTACAGATGCACAACCAACGACCACACCCAGCTAATTTTTGTATTTTCAGTAGAGACAGGGTTTCACCATGTTTCCCATGATGGTTTTGATCTCCTGACTTCCTGATCTGCCCGCCTCGGCTGCCCAAAGTGTTGGTTGTCCTTTTATTAGTCTTATCAATTTCTTATTTTATGTGTGCCTTTGGTTCTTGTTCTAGCCCAACTAAGAGATATAGGCCAATATATATAACTTTCAATCAGTCATTTCCATTACATCCTATGTAGGGCACCTCAGTGATGGCACAGAATCAATGGATATACATACATTATATATACATATGTATATGTGTGCAACGAACAACACGAGAATGACCTATTACATTGAGGATTGTCACGCATTATAGATATGAATTGCGATTTTGAAAAAAACTTGGGGCCTAAGCCAATCACACCAAAGAAATGTATCAGAATTTGATCTTACTAGAATGGCAATCATTAAAAAGTCAGGAAACAACAGGTGCTGGAGAGGATGTGGAGAAATAGGAACACTTTTACACTGTTGGTGGGACTGTAAACTAGTCCAAACATTGTGGAAGTCAGTGTGGCGATTCTTCAGGGATCTAGAACTAGAAATACCATTTGACCCAGCCATTCCATTACTGGGTATATACCCAAAGGACTATAAATCATGCTGCTATAAAGACACATGCACACCTATGTTTATTGCAGCACTATTCACAATAGCAAAGACTTGGAACCAACCCAAATGTCCAACAATGATAGACTAGATTAAGAAAATGTGGCACATATACACCATGGAATACTATGCAGCCATAAAAAATGATGAGTTCATGTCCTCTGTAGGGACATGGATGAAATTGGAAATCATCATTCTCAGTAAACTATCGCAAGAACAAAAAACCAAACACTGTATATTCTCACTCATAGGTGAGAATTGAACAATGAGAACACATGGACACAGGAAGGGGAACATCACACTCTGGGGACTGTTGTGGGGTGGGGGGAGGGGGAAGGGATAGCTTTAGGAGAAGTACCTAATGCTAAATGAAGAGTTAATGGGTGCAGCACACCAGCATGACACATGTATACATATGTAACTAATCTGCACATTGTTCACATGTACCCTAAAACTTAAAGTATAATAATAATAAAATAAAAAATATATATATATTTATTCACATTTTTAATTAAAAAAAAAAGAGTTTCTATTTCCCCCAGACACGGGAAGATCTGCATGATCATTATGGAGACAGAGCACAACTTATTCAAGCCCTTTCCCAGTCACAAATGCTCTCTCATTTTATTTACTCCTCACAACAATCTATGTGTAGGACTTACTGTACCAATAATCAAAAAGGATACAAAGATGCCAGTAAGTTTAGTCCAATAACTCCCTTAAATTCATTTCTAAACAAAATTGCAAATGAATGCATAAACAAACCAAATTTAAAAATACAAAAAATAGTCACTTCATTATTAAGTGACAGTACCTGAATTTACAATTGGACTTTTGCTACTGTCCTGTTCCACTTTGTTTTTCAAATACCTTTTTTTCCCAAGGCATATTTGCTTCACTTATAAACAGTGGATTATTTTTTCTTAAGTACATGATACAATGTGCATTAACTTAGTTTCCTAGAATATATAATTGGAAAGAAACTTAGAAATGGTCTAGTCCAAATGTTACATTTCACAGAAAGATAAAGCAATAGTTCTGACCTACTCTGAGGCCCAATTGGAGTGGGATCAAGATGAATATTTACCTCTTTGGACACACATTCCAGAACTCTTCTTACTCAGGCACATGGCCTTGCCTTTAAAGCTATTTCCTAGGAAAAACTTGTGACCAGAGACAGATTTTTTTTTTTTGTCAATTTGTTATAATTATTTTTTTTCCAATTGAAATGAAAAGGGAAAGGAGTAAGAGGTTATTTCTGGATGATGAATTGTCAAGAGGGTGCTTTTGAATTAGCATTGATTAAGAGTAAATACAATCATGTGAAATTTTGATTTCAAAGAAGAAATCACACCACCTGTGTACCAGGCAGTCAAGATTTTACTATAATAAAATAACCATCTTTATATATTTCTTTCTTCAGCCTTACTTAGATTTTGTGCAAAGCCTCTCCTTTGCAACCCATAGGAAAAAGAATATGTAGATAGGGGCTCTGGAGTTGTGCGGCCATGGACAAGACACTTATTCACTTATAGCCATATAAAATTGTTGTAAGATTGAATAAGATAATTACATAAAGGACTGGAGTGCAGTGCTAATCATGTCAAGAAGAGTTAGGTCAGCAATTAATAATAATAAAAAGGAGCAGAAAATATGAACTTCTCACCTCTTTGGCCTTGGCATTCTTTTACTTTGGTGCGAATGGTATAGAATGTCAGGGCCCCTGCTTATAGGGGTGCCATACCTCATAGTCATAGTCTTTGTAATTTGGATACTTATTGCAATAATTTCCTGATAGATATCTATAAAGTCACTTAAGAAAGGGATGTATTTTTTTTTTCTATTTGAACACTGGTACTATATTGATAGGATTATAAAGTCAGAATGCTGAGCTGTATGATGGTTATTCACACTGAGATAACACTTTGGGAGATGCTGAAATATAATTAAGAATTTATTATGAAAGAGTTTTGCCAGTGGTAGTAATATATCTGCTTTTGGAAACAGAACATTTTCTTTCTTTCTAAATACTTGCATTTATTAAATTTCTCAATTACTCACATACGATGCTATTATATCCTAAGGACTATATTTCAGTTAACTTTAGGGAGGTAGAACACATTTAAAGTATAAAATATGATTTTATTGTGATTTGAGACTAAAAATGTTCTCCTTGGAAAATAAGGATGAGAAAACTTTCTGTGAATTAAATATTTTTTGCCCTTGGGGGAATATAGTTAACATACAACAAGTTAGCATCAAAAGTCTAATTCTTTCTTAATTTCCATGTGCTTTAGTTAACACTATATTTACTCCTCTAACTGGTTATTAATATTCTTTTTCTAGTGAAAACTCTTGAATGAAAGTTGTAATCATACCCTTCCACGTACATGTCTTCTCCATTAATTAGAGTCGTATATAAAACCAGAAATGAAGACGGAATGAAAATTCAGTTTAGATTCATGAAGCTCTCCAACTGTCTTCCTTAGCTCATGTTCCATTTTGTTATGGCCTCTAAGCTCATATAAGGGTTTTGAATAACTGTCAGGACAATATATGGTTTTTGCTTTTGCTACAGCTTATTGCTCATTCTACAGTTACGCAATGTGCCTCCATACCAGGGTGTGATGGCTGAGAGGCATCATTAATGTGTTAAATGATGTGGAAGGCTTGGCCACACTATGACACATCACTGCACAGTGACATTCCCAGATGCACAGGTATCTGCCTTGATTTCAAAACAGGAAGAAGCTGAATTGCCAGTCAAGCATGATGTACTGTGAAAATCATAATGTATATAACCACTTATACTCTCAGGGCCAAATTCAGACGTCATTTGTTTGTTGAGATAAACAAAATGTTAAGACTTTGATTTTTAGGTTTCATTAATCATAAAATGAAACAAAGAGAAGGATGCATCATAGAACATTACTAAAGTCATATGATGTTCATTATTTTGTTAGGTGATTTTCATTATGTTTACAGTTTCCGATTCGCTACATTGGCGCTGAAAAATGTCTACCTTCATGTTCTGAAAGAATTCATGTAGATCCTTTTGGTGTTTAATTTACTTCCAAGGAGTATAATTACACGGCAACATACAGTTCTATAGGGACTATACCAATAGGTGGCCATAGTTTAATGGCAGATTCAGCTAAGCATTTATTCTACCTTTATTTTAAAATGTTTGCTTCTTCAGAAATGCTGAAGCCTGACTGATATCTTCAACATGAGTTATTTCTTTGTCATATCTACATACACTAAGTTCCAAAAGAAAAATAAGGTGGCTAGAGGAAACATATTCCAGAATGAAACTACAGAAAACTTAGAAATATTTTCTTTATCAAATGCAAAAAAATACTGTGGATTCTTTCTTTCTTTCTTTTTCCTTTTTTTTTTTTTTTTTTTTTGAGACAGAGTCTTGCTCTGTCGCCCAGGCTGGAGTGCAATGGTGCCATCTCAGCTCACTGCAACCTCCGCCTCCTGGGTTCAAGCAATTCTCCTGCCTCAGCCTCCCGTGTAGCTGGAATTACAGGCACCTGCCATCATGCCTGGCTAATTTTTGTATTTTTGTAGAGACAGGGTTTCACCATGTTGACCAGGCTGGTCTTGAATTCCTGACCTCAAGTGATCCACCCGCTTCGGCCTCCCAAAGTGCTGGAATTACAGACATGAGCCACCACACCTAGCCTAGTGTGGATTCTAAATTTAGTCAAAGGGCTCTAATATTTTACAGTTCTTTTTTTAAGTATATCTTGTTTATTTAACATTTATTAAAGATATTTACTTTTCTTAACGAATGGATACTATTGCTTTATTCTGTGAAATAAAAGGCCATAAAACCATGAACGAGAAAGCCTATAAACGTTTTTTATAGTAAGTGAGTCCATAGGTGGTCTTAAAGGTCAAAAATAATTAATTGTTTAAAATTATATTAGTGACAACATTTTGAATTATAGTCCCAGAATGCCAAAAAATAAATTAAAAACAAAAATAATTATTGGATTTCCAGTTTAATCCCTTCATGTAATGGATGGCAATTTTCAGCCAGAAGAAAGGAAGGCGTTTATCTAAGGGGAAAAGAAGGAGGTTGTCTTTGATCATCAAATTAAGTAGATAATAGAGGTCATTCTGTCTAAAGCAGAGGATAGGAATTCCTTCATTATAGCTAACAGCCTCAAAGATCTTTTCCTTTACATAAATTAGTGCACCTTCTATCGAAAATCTACATAAAATGAAGTCACGTTCTCTCTTTTAAATATCATAATTTGCTGATCATTTTTGAATGGAATGGCAACTCTGAAATTCCCTGCATCATATCCAGCACCTGGAAAGTCCTATCAATAAGTGTTGGTCTTCTTCCTTCTCCACTTTTTTTTTTTTTTTTGCATCTGCCTTGAATTTACAGAAAATTACTTATTTATTTTTATGGATGGGAACTATATTATATCAGTATATGTTATTATTATAAATAGAAACTGGAGGTAAACAGAACATCAATTTGTTTTTGCCATTTGGATATGAGTGAAACAATGAACAAAAGTTGACTAGTATCTTCAGATGAGATTATAGTATAGAACAATGCTAATGTCTTGATTTTAATAAATATATTGAGACTATGTAAAAGCATTATTGTTTTTAAGAAATTGTCACTGGAATATATGGAGACTCAGGAGGAGCCAAGATGGCCGAATAGGAACAGCTCCGGTCTACAGCTCCCAGCGTGAGCGACGCAGAAGACGGGTGATTTCTGCATTTCCATCTGAGGTACCGGGTTCATCTCACTAGGGAGTGCCAGACAGTGGGCGCAGGCCAGTGGGTGCGCGCACCGTGCGCGAGCCGAAGCAGGGCGAGGCATTGCCTCACCTGGGAAGCGCAAGGGGTCAGGGAGTTCCCTTTCCGAGTCAAAGAAAGGGGTGACGGACGCACCTGGAAAATCGGGTCACTCCCACCCGAATATTGCGCTTTTCAGACCGGCTTAAAAAACAGCGCACCACGAGACTATATCCCACACCTGGCTCAGAGGGTCCTACGCCCACGGAATCTCGCTGATTGCTAGCACAGCAGTCTGAGATCAAACTGCAAGGCAGCAGCGAGGCTGGGGGAGGGGCGCCCGCCATTGCCCAGGCTTGCTTAGGTAAACAAAGCAGCGGGGAAGCTCGAACTGGGTGGAGCCCACCACAGTTCAAGGAGTCCTGCCTGCCACTGTAGGCTCCACCTCTGGGGGCAGGGCAAAGACAAACAAAAAGACAGCAGTAACCTCTGCAGACTTAAATGTCCCTGTTTGACAGCTTTGAAGAGAGCAGTGGTTCTCCCAACACGCAGCTGGAGATCTGAGAACCGGCAGACTGCCTCCTCAAGTGGGTCCCTGACCCCTGACCCCCGAGCAGCCTAACTGGGAAGCATCCCCCAGCAGGGGCACACTGACACCTCACAAGGCAGGGTATTCCAACAGACCTGCAGCTGAGGGTCCTGTCTGTTAGAAGGAAAACTAACAAACAGACAGGACATCCACACCAAAAACCCATCTGTACATCACCATCATCAAAGACCAAAAGTAGATAAAACCACAAAGATGGGGAAAAAACAGAACAGAAAAACTGGAAACTCTAAAACGCAGAGCGCCTCTCCTCCTCCAAAGGAACGCAGTTCCTCACCAGCAATGGAACAAAGCTGGATGGAGAATGACTTTGACGAGCTGAGAGAAGAAGGCTTCAGACGATCAAATTACTCTGAGCTATGGGAGGACATTCAAACCAAAGGCAAAGAAGTTGAAAACTTTGAAAAAAATTTAGAAGAATGTATAACTAGAATAACCAATACAGAGAAGTGCTTAAAGGAGCTGATGAAGCTGAAAACCAAGGCTTGAGAACTACGTGAAGAATGCAGAAGCCTCAGGAGACGATGTGATCAACTGGAAGAAAGGGTATCAGTGATGGAAGATGAAATGAATGAAATGAAGTGAGAAGGGAAGTTTAGAGAAAAAAGAATAAAAAGAAATGAGCAAAGCCTCCAAGAAATATGGGACTATGTGAAAAGACCAAATCTACGTCTGATTGGTGTACCTGAAAGTGACGGGGAGAATGGAACCAAGTTGGAAAACACTCTGCAGGATATTATCCAGGAGAACTTCCCCAATCTAGCAAGGCAGGCCAACGTTCACATTCAGGAAATACAGAGAATGCCACAAAGATACTCCTCGAGAAGAGCAACTCCAAGACACATAATTATCAGATTCACCAAAGTTGAAATGAAGGAAAAAATGTTAAGGGCAGCCAGAGAGAAAGGTCAGGTTACCCTCAAAGGGAAGCCCATCAGACTAACAGCGGATCTCTCGGCAGAAACCCTACAAGCCAGAAGAGAGTGGGGGCCAATATTCAACATTCTCAAAGAAAAGAATTTTCAACCCAGAATTTCATATCCAGCCAAACTAAGCTTCATAAGTGAAGGAGAAATAAAATACTTTACAGACAAGCAAATGCTGAGAGATTTTGTCACCACCAGGCCTGCCCTAAAAGAGCTCCTGAAGGAAGCGCTAAACATGGAAAGGAACAACTGGTACCAGCTGCTGCAAAATCATGCCAAAATGTAAAGACCATCGAGACTAGGAAGAAACTGCATCAACTAACGAGCAAAATCACCAGCTAACATCATAATGACAGGATCAAATTCACACATAACAATATTAACTTTAAATGTAAATGGACTAAATGCTCCAATTAAAAGACACAGACTGGCAAATTGGATAAAGAGTCAAGACCCATCAGTGTGCTGTATTCAGGAAACCCATCTCATGGGCAGAGACACACATAGGCTCAAAATAAAAGGATGGAAGAAGATCTACCAAGCAAATGGAAAACAAAAAAAGGCAGGGGTTGCAATCCTAGTCTCTGATAAAACAGACTTTAAACCAACAAAGATCAAAAGAGACAAAGAAGGCCATTACATAATGGTAAAGGGATCAATTCAACAAGAAGAGCTAACTATCCTAAATATATATGCACCCAATACAGGAGCACCCAGATTCATAAAGCAAGTCCTCAGTGACCTACAAAGAGACTTAGACTCCCACACATTAATAATGGGAGACTTTAACACCCCACTGTCAACATTAGACAGATCAACGAGACAGAAAGTCAACAAGGATACCCAGGAATTGAACTCAGCTCTGCACCAAGCAGACCTAATAGACATCTACAGAACTCTCCACCCCAAATCAACAGAATATACATTTTTTTCAGCACCACACCACACCTATTCCAAAATTGACCACATAGTTGGAAGTAAAGCTCTCCTCAGCAAATGTAAAAGAACAGAAATTATAACAAACTATCTCTCAGACCACAGTGCAATCAAACTAGAACTCAGGATTAAGAATCTCACTCAAAGCCACTCAACTACATGGAAACTGAACAACCTGCTCCTGAATGACTACTGGGTACATAACGAAATGAAGGCAGAAATAAAGATGTTCTTTGAAACCAACAAGAACAAAGACACGACATACCAGAATCTCTGGGATGCATTCAAAGCAGTGTGTAGAGGGAAATTTATAGCACTAAATGCCCACAAGAGAAAGCAGGAAAGATCCAAAATTGACACCCTAACATCACAATTAAAAGAACTAGAAAAGCAAGAGCAAACACATTCAAAAGCTAGCAGAAGGCAAGAAATAACTAAAATCAGAGCAGAACTGAAGGAAATAGAGACACAAAAAACCATTCAAAAAATCAATGAATCCAGGAGCTGGTTTTTTGAGAGGATCAACAAAATTGATAGACCGCTAGCAAGACTAATAAAGAAAAAAAGAGAGAAGAATCAAATAGACACAATAAAAAATGATAAAGGGGATATCACCACCGATCCCACAGAAATACAAACTACCATCAGAGAATACTACAAACACCTCTACGCAAATAAACTAGAAAATCTAGAAGAAATGGATAAATTCCTCGACACATACACTCTCCCAAGACTAAACCAGGAAGAAGTTGAATCTCTGAATAGATCAATAACAGGAGCTGAAATTGTGGCAATAATCAATAGTTTACCAACCAAAAAGAGTCCAGGACCAGATGGATTCACAGCCGAATTCTACCAGAGGTACAAGGAGGAACTGGTACCATTCCTTCTGAAACTATTCCAATCAATAGAAAAAGAGGGAATCCTCCCTAACTCATTTTATGAGGCCAGCATCATTCTGATACCAAAGCCGGGCAGAGATACAACCAAAAAAGAGAATTTTAGACCAATATCCTTGATGAACATTGATGCAAAAATCCTCAATAAAATACTGGCAAATCGAATCCAGCAGCACATCAAAAAGCTTATCCACCATGATCAAGTGGGCTTCATCCCTGGGATGCAAGGCTGGTCCAATATACACAAATCAATAAATGTAATCCAGCATATAAATAGAGCCAAAGACAAAAACCACATGATTATCTCAATAGATGCAGAAAAAGCCTTTGACAAAATTCAACAACTCTTCATGCTAAAAACTCTCAATAAATTAGGTATTGATGGGACGTATTTCAAAATGATAAGAGCTATCTATGACAAACCCACAGCCAATATCATACTGAATGGGCAAAAACTGGAAGCATTCCCTTTGAAAACTGGCACAAGACAGGGATGCCCTCTCTCACCACTCTTATTCAACATAGTGTTGGAAGTTCTGGCCAGGGCAATTAGGCAGGAGAAGGAAATAAAGGGTATTCAATTAGGAAAAGAGGAAGTCAAATTGTCCCTGTTTGCAGACTACATGATTGTATATCTAGAAAACCCCATTGTCTCAGCCCAAAATCTCCTTAAGCTGATAAGCAACTTCAGCAAAGTCTCAGGATACAAAATCAATGTGCAAAAATCACAAGCATTCTTATACACCAACAACAGACAAACAGCCAAATCATGAGTGAACTCCCATTCACAATTGCTTCAAAGAGAATAAAATACCTAGGAATCCAACTTACAAGGGATGTGAAGGACCTCTTCAAGGAGAACTACAAACCACTGCTCAAAGAAATAAAAGAGGATACAAACAAATGGAAGAACATTCCATGCTCATGGGTAGGAAGAATCAATATCGTGAAAATGGCCATACTGCCCAAGGTAATTTACAGATTCAATGCCATCCCCATCAAGCTACCAATGACTTTCTTCACAGAATTGGAAAAAACTACTTTAAAGTTCATATGGAACCAAAAAAGAGCCCTCATTGCCAAGTCAATCCTAAGCCAAAAGAACAAAGCTGGAGGCATCACACTACCTGACTTCAAACTATACTACAAGGCTACAGTAACCAAAACAGCATGGTACTGGTACCAAAACAGAGATATAGATCAATGGAACAGAACAGAGCCCTCAGAAATAACGCCGCGTACCTACAACTATCTGATCTTTGACAAACCTGAGAAAAACAAGCAATGGGGAAAGGATTCCCTATTTAATAAATGGTGCTGGCAAAACTGGCTAGCCATATGTAGAAAGCTGAAACTGGATCCCTTCCTTACACCTTATACAAAAATCAATTCAAGATGGATTAAAGACTTAAACGTTAGACCTAAAACCATAAAAACCCTAGAAGAAAACCTAGGCAATACCATTCAGGACATAGGCATGGGCAAGGACTTCATGTCTAAACACCAAAAGCAATGGCAACAAAAGCCACAATTGACAAATGGGATCTAATTAAAATAAAGAGCTTCTGCACAGCAAAAGAAACTACCATCAGAGTGAACAGGCAACCTACAAAATGGGAGAAAATTTTCGCAACCTACTCATCTGACAAAGGGCTAATATCCAGAATCTACAATGAACCCAAACAAATTTACAAGAAAAAAACAAACAACCCCATCAAAAAGTGGGTGAAGGACATGAACAGACACTTCTCAAAAGAAGACATTTATGCAGCCAAAAAACACATGAAAAAATGCTCATCATCACTGGCCATCAGAGAAATGCAAATCAAAACCACTATGAGATACCATCTCACACCAGTTAGAATGGCAATCATTAAAAAGTCAGGAAACAACAGGAGCTGGAGAGGATGTGGAGAAACAGGAACACTTTTACACTGTTGGTGGGACTGTAAACTAGTTCAACCATTGTGGAAGTCAGTGTGGCGATTCCTCAGGGATCTAGAACTAGAAATACCATTTGACCCAGCCATCCCATTACTGGGTATATACCCAAAGGACTATAAATCATGCTGCTATAAAGACACATGCACACGTATGTTTATTGAGGCATTATTCACAATAGCAAAGACTTGGAACCAACCCAAATGTCCAACAATGATAGACTGGATTAAGAAAATGTGGCACATATACACCATGGAATATCTATGCAGCCATAAAAAATGATGAGTTCACGTCCTTTGTAGGGACATGGATGAAATTGGAAATCATCATTCTCAGTAAACTATCGCAAGAACAAAAAACCAAACACCGCATATTCTCACTCATAGGTGGGAATTGAACAATGAGATCACATGGACACAGGAAGGGGAATATCACACTCTGGGGACTGTGGTGGGGTGGGGGGAGGGGGGAGAGATAGCATTGGGAGATATACCTAATGCTAGATGACGAGTTAGTGGGTGCAGCGCACCAGCACGGCACATGTATACATATGTAACTAACCTGCACAATGTGCACATGTACCCTAAAACTTAAAGTATAAAAAAAAAAAAGAAAAAAAAAAAAGAAATTGTCACTGAAGTGTTCAGGAGGAAAAGGTCATAATATCTGCAAGTGGTTCAGAAATAAGTAACATTTACATAGAAAGAGAGATGGGGGTGGGACGGATAAAGCACGTGGAATAAATTATTAATCTAGGAGAAATCTGGGTGAAGGTATATAGGCATAATGCACACTATTGCAATATTTTCACACATGTGAATGAATCCAATTTTTTGATAGAAATTGTACATACACATGCTGAATTCCAATAGGGTAAACTGGTAAAGGGAGGAAATGTCAATTTACTCAGAACTTTGCTGTCTTGATGAAATGTTGAAAAAGCTTCTCAGATATCAGTTCATCCAAGTAGTAAAATAAGAGTAGAGGTGGACCTCCAAACCCCAAGGCCACATACATTCTCTATTAGTGCTCCTTATTCTAGTCTGAGATCATTATATGCTATAGAATAGTGGAAAGCGGCAGATTCTATAATGGCAGTTAAGAATGAACAGATATGCATATTCCACTAGTGGAATGATTGTTTTTGTCCAGAAGAAAAAAAAAGATGAATATACTCATTCTGTGAAAGAAAACAAAAAGCAGCAATTTATGTCGTTATAAGTTTGAAGATTTTTGTTTTGTAATCTGCAATTCTTTCTTTACTTGACTGATGGATTCACAGATACAATCTTTATATGGTGGCCTACTTTCTTATCTCACTGACATACTTTGTGAAAGTATTGAGAGCTGAGAACTAATATCCGAATTTACAACATAATCTTCTACAATTTAAAAGGTGCCTTATCATTTGATCATCACAATGCTTTTACAATGTCATCAAGAGAAGAATCAACAAACTCGATCTCACAAACTAAATTAAAAGGGACACATTCATGCTTCCCCTTTATATCCACGTCAAAGATAGAGGCTAGGAGGATTTTAAGCACCCTGGCATCATATCTGTCACAGCCATATCCTTCCAGTGGTAGGGAGCTTATTTTTCAAGGCTACCAGTCCATTAACCTTCACAAGAACAAAAATAAAGGAAAACAAAGAAACACTCCCTTCAGAAAAGGCATTGCTTCTAATCATGCTTATATATCTTACCCTGGAGATTTGAAGATAGAACAAAGACCTCTATCTCCCCAGGCACACAAAATGATACAGACATCCTGAAATAAATATATAAAATGCCTGGTGGTGCATATTATAAACACATTAGTGATTTTTTTTAAATGGGAGAGAGACTAGGGTAAGTAACTTCTATCACCTTTGCTGAATCTGTCTTAAACTGTGATTTGTAACTGGGAGGGCCAAAGCATCAATCTCATTTATTTTTTAATGTCTTGGCCTGATCTTGGTTGCCACTTTGCCTAGATTCATTTACTGTGTATATTTGGAACTATTAGTTTCCTGATAAATGCATTGTCAGAAAGCCAGAGGGGAATGATAAGATAGGAAATAAGGAGCTCTTGTTTGTTTTTATACAATTCTGTTTGACTTAAGAGATAATTGTAACACAGATTGATGCTACAATTTTAAACAAGGTAGTAAATCAGCTTGAAATATAGCGCTCCGGAAAACCATTTGCCACATGATCATAATTTGTTAAAATTCCTGTGTTAGCTGAAGATGAGAAGCCATAATCATGCAATATATAGCAACAGTATTGCAGTACTCATTTTTTCCCATAGAAGACAGTTAAATAAACCTAAGTTATAAACTTTTAAATATCATTAGTTACAAAGTATAAATACCATTAACGGAAGCAAAGCAAAGCATATACTGGTTGGTCTGGGATCTAGCTCCAAGTGGGAGAAATTATAGATACAGTGAGCAAGATTAAAGTAATGATTCAGTGCACTTCATTTAAAATTCATGTATTTTCCACAAATTAAGTTTACTTATCATCATGAGGAATGTAAAAATATAAGATTTTCATCAATATATGAGACCAGAAGCAAAGTGGAAACGAAAGAGAAATTTAGAATCAGAAAGATACATATTTGAATATGGATGGACTCTGCCATGGCTTATATTTAAAATATCTATCCATTGGCATGGGGAAGACAGGGGCCCCTCAAGAAAGACGGGTGCTAGCCAAAGGCTCTGTATACCCCTCTTATGCAAAGATTTATCCCTTTGGTTGCTGAATGATGGGGAGAATGGAGATGGACCTGACATACTGAGCTTAGGGGACTACTCAGTGTATTTGAGAAATTAACCAGTAGAGAGGCATTTCTGTAATAACCTGCAGGAACAGCTAGAACTACATTTAACCAGTAGATAAATAGATGAAAATGTTAACAACCAGCAGAGTCATATTGATGCATACTTGCTTTTGTAGATGACACTTACTCTGTGTCTTTACTAGTTGAACTAACCTTTCTGAGTAAGCCAGGTGATGGAAACAGAATGTGGTGAGTTTTTTTGGCTCATGATTTGGCTACTAGAAGACCTAGGTGATAAGATAATTTAGTCACCTCTGGTTTCCTTTTGCCTAGAGCATCCAGGACACATTCTGATATTCTCAGAGCAAGGGGTGATTCCCACTAGGGACCAGAGGGATGTCCATAATGTAAGCCAAATGAAGAGCAGAAGCCGAGTTTATACTCAATCTTGACAACCAGCTCAGAGGTGACCCCACCTGGGAGAGAACTGGAGAATCGGTAGTTCTCTGGAGAATCAGAGTGGCATCTTGTCTCTCTCTTCCCTCTCCCTTTGGCTCCAATGTTTGTGTGTGTGTGTGTGTGTGTGTGTGTGTGTGTGTGTATGTGTAAAAATAAGACAATAATATCTCTGAATTGAGCTTCTTGGGATGTATACCTAATTCTGACATTTTGTAGCAATAATTTAAGCACAACAAATACCTATCAGTTTAGCTTTGTACAAGACATTTTGAATACAAAAGAAAACTGTTTATTACTCATTTATCAGTTATCAATATTGAAAAATGATTGTTATATCTCAAAGGGGCATTATTTCTATGTAATATATAATCCATTTATATGTTTGAGAGATTCACAATTAAAATCCCACAAGTAAAATCCATAAGTAATCTACATAGTTATTATTAAGCAATCAGAGATTTATAACTATCAGTTATAATACACAGAACTTCTTAGAAGTATGAAATAACAAAGGAATACCTAATTTTAACTAAGCTGAAGATATTTACAATTTTTCATATCCTGCATAACTTTTTTTAAAGCTAAGATTCATTGCCTAAGTTCTCTGAAATATAAAAATGTTTCCCCCAAGGAGCCCCTCTACTACTATCTGAGAGCCTCAAATATTTAAGGATTTCAAATTGGGAAACAATGGGTATAAACTAGTTTAAAAATCACCTAACAAATATGGTTTATTCTCACTTGAAGAATTAAATTATTTAATGTGCCATAACTGTTTAAATGTGTTAGAAGGCAAAATCCTGGGGTTCTATAAAATCTTTTTTTCCTTCCGCCCAGTTTTCCACCCAGAGTCAAAACCATTACTCAGACGTGATATGATAAGAGTAAGAAGCATCTAGTATGTACTCACCAGCCTGATTAGTTGTGATGCTGACCGCAGCAAACTGTCTTGGTGGGGAGCTCAGCTCTGACACCCCATTAACGGCATCAATCTCAAAGGTGTAGTTAGTATGTGCCAGAAGGTCTGTCACTGTCACCGTGGTGTTGGTGAGTCCAAACTGTCGAGGGAGGAAGCGGACATTTGGGCTGCATGGCTCACACTGTTTTATATTCCACCCACATTTTTTACATATGATGTTGAAGGTAACATCTTTCCGGCCTCCTGTGTCCAGGGGCCAACTCCAGTCCAGGATAACTGAGGTCTCGTTTATATTAGAGATAACATTTCTTGGTGAAGATGGAGGTCCTGCAAAGTAGTTCAACAAAGATTAATGAGCCTCACTTCTGTTTTCTACTACAAGGGAAATAGATAATTTACAATGGAACTGAATGAGGTAAATAACTATCCTTTCTTTATTATCAACTTTCAGTTCATCCTTAGAGGATCCATGATATTATAGACACATGGATTCAAGAACACTGTCTTCCCCAAGCTGTGAATGGCGGAGTTTTAACTCAAAGGTAAGGATACATTCACAAATTCTAACAAAGTAACTCATCACTATGTTCAAAACCCTTGTGAATAGTTATGAAAACTTTAGTATTAGTTTTATAACTCTTAGTCCTTTTTCCCTATGACCTATGACCAACATACAGCAAGAGGGAATAGAAATGTAAAAACATAAATCCCCTGTCTATAACCTCCCCTATCCTGTCATATGTAATGCAGGATCTAAACAAGACACAGAAAATGTTCTCTCTTTCAGGGGGTTGTGTTGCAGGAAGTGCTTTAAAATTTAATTCATTTTGTGTGATAAATGTTGCATTTGTGGTGAGCCAAGCATGGGGAGTGAAGCAGAGAAAGCTTTCAATTTGCACACGGGCAACAGAAGGAAATGGGCCAAATGCTTTAAAACAAAAACAAACAGCACAGTAACAAGAAGAAAACAAAACAAACATGGAGGCATGGGTTGCAGCAAAACTACTCACGGGTACAAGCCATGGATGGAGGGTCTTTGTCTGCCCGGAAGTAATTATTCTCACACCTGCAGTTCATTGAACCATCTTCCTGAGTAGAACTGTGAGGCGGGCACTTAGCACACTTCATATTACCATCCAATGCCTTGTAGAAACCTGGTCGACAAGCTACAAACAAAATGACTCTCTTTTAAAAGTCTGTGATAATTTTTTTGAAAATATGTAAAACAGATTTAAGTAAGTTCGAATATGAATTTATTATAAATAAAAATCAAGTTTTTTCCTCCAAGAATTTACAGAAGCAAATGACAGAGCCTACTGTAGTTTTTCTACATAAATGCTTGAATTTGCACCAAATGTTAAGAAGAAAAACACACACACAAGATTTAGATTATTTTGGCACTAGTGTATGATGAAATTTCCAGCTTGTGTTTTCACAGCTTTACTTGGCATTGGACTATTTGTGGAGAAAATAAAGCAAAACCATGTCACCATGTAGTAATTCCCTTTTTAAAACATGATGCAATGTGTATACTATCTGCACTGCAGCAAGCAGTATATTAACATTGACTAGTTTTCTAATTGCTCTGTGGGTACAACTTCGTCCCACAAAGTGTAAGCAACTGAAAGAAGAGATCATGGCTTCACGTATATTTTTAAGATTCTTGATAAATAATTTTCATGAGCTACAATATTTTTTTCTGGCTTGACAGTACTTTTCCTTACTTCCTATGGCAATGGCCTAAAATAAAGATTTAAATATATTCCTTTGTCTATATCTGAAATACAGAGGGATATACAGTTCCTATTTAAACTAATACACTTATGAACTGTTACTAGATGAGAGCTCTTTTAATAACTGTGTTATCTTTTTAATTTCTGGCCATATCTCTGCATAAAATGGTTTTTGTAAGCCTATTGAACTGGTTATCGAACATTGATTTCAGCTTATAATTTAGGGTTCAGCATCTATGTACTGTTTTACAGAGATATGCCTAAAACTGCCTCTACTATATTATTTTCATTTTGTCTGATAGAAAATTCAAAATGCTGCATTACTTCTTTTGATGCATTTTTATAATTACATTGAGAACTAAAATCATAGTGAAAATTCCAAGAAGTCTCTAGTAATTCATTTGAGAAGGAATTTGGGATGTAAATTTTAGATTCAAGATGATCCTTGGAAGTCAATAATTTCTAAAACTTCTAAAGCTCAATTTCAGTGCCACATTTGGACTTGATGATTTACAGAACTTAAATAGACTTGATGATTTACAGAACTTATATACAGAATAGGCCCTATAGATGGTCATTACATTCTAGAATTTTCTTATATTAACTTCATATTGTGAAGAGAAGATTATTTGCATTAAAGTAAAACCTGTGTGAACAAATCAATATTTATAATCACTAAATATGTTTCTGAAAAGAAATACAATATATCCATGGTAGACTATCTTCTTACTGAAAGTTTCTTAAAATAAGACAAGGGAAATACACTGCCAAAATAAACTACTGGAATAACTTAAAATGATAGCAATCATTAATCTAGTCTTACTGTTTTCTAGTTCCTACCAAGAATGGCTGCTGTAGGACCAATTTCCAATGTATTGAACAACTTTTGGTGTCACACTGAGATCCATTACATATAGTCAATTCTACTGCCCTAACAATTATAATTTTTCTTTCTTTCTTTTTTTTTTTTTTTTTTTTGAGATGGAGTCTCACTCTGTCACCTAGGCTTGAGTGCAGTGGCACAATCTCGGCTCACTGCAATCTCTGCCTTCCAGATTCAAGCTATTCTCCTGCCTCAGCCTCCCAGGTAGCTGGGATTACAGGCGTGCGCCACCAGGCCTAGCTAATTTTTGTATTTTTAGTAGAGACAGAGTTTCACCATGTTGGTCAGGCTGGTCTCGACCTCCTGACCTTGTGATCCGCCCGCCTCGGCCTCCCAAAGTCCTGGGATTACAGGCGTGAGTCACCGCCACAGGCCGACAAATATTTATGAAGCTGTATGTATATGTGCCTACGTATCCTTTACTGTTATTATCTCAGGGTTATTATTTAGTCATAATTGGATAAAGTCTAGTGACTAGTTTGAGTAGCATTCTTAACTTTTAGGTTTATTAACTGTAGCTACCTTCAAGATACTATCAATAATCTTGATAATTTGTGCAGTACCTAGGAAGTGATTATGTGACTCTCTTTTCAAGTATCGTATAGTATAGCCATCTGTAATAGAAACAAAAAGTGACTGAGTGTTTAGTGAATACCTGTATAACAAATGTTGTAAAAACCATAAAAGTCAGGAGATCGAGACCATCTTGGCTAACACGGTGAAACCCCGTCCCTACTAAAAATACAAATATTAGCCGGGCACAGTGGTGGGCGCCTGTGGTCCCAGCTACTCGGGAGGCTGAGGCAGGAGAATGGCGGGAACCAGGGAGGCGGAGCTTGCAGTGAGCCCAGATAGCGCCACTGCAGTCCGGCCTGGGCGACAGAGCGAGACTCCGTCTCAACAAATAAATAAATAAATAAATATTTGTCAAACATCTATTCTTGTTTGGGCTCTTTGATTCCCAAAAAGGCAAAAATGTCCCTAATTCTGCCCATGCCCAAAGGGCCCTTGCAATAGAAAATGGGCAGCGGGCATTTAATACAAATCATGCTGAGCAATCACTTCATTGTGATTGGTGGTTGGAAGAGACTCCACAGAAGGAGCGCCATTTGAGAAAGATCATACATAGATAGTAGAAGTGGCCAGTATGAAGCATAATTCAATATACAAATAAATCAACATGAAAAATACAAACTGTTACATAGAATTTTATGGCAAGTAGTGTTGGTACTCAATACCCAAACTCTGCTCCCTTCTTGCCAGCAGAATCCTGATTTTGCTCACAGATGAAGCCAGCCAAATCCTTCCTTCCTTAGACCAGTGAAGCTAGAGATGAACGGCCAAAGTTATGGACAAAAAGGTGGGCAAAGAAATGTACACAGAAGTCCGATTAAAATATTTGTGATACCTTTTTGTTTTCTAACAAGATGTACAAATACAACTTGAAGCCAAGTTATTCCAGCCTTGATTATGGACATTATGGCTGGAATTGCAGCAGCTTACATGTGATCATGAGTGAAAGGCCAAGAAATTCAGCATGATGTGTTTTCTGTACTTGATCCAGGAACCACCAATCTCAAGATTTCTTATAATGTCAGAAAGACAATACCCTGTTTGTTTAAGTCACTGTGGCCTAGGTTTCTTTTACTTGTAGCAGACGGCATACCTGAGTGACTAGATGAATAGGAAATTCAGTTGAGATGTGCTAATTAAATAGAATAATAGCCTAATGGAGCTAAAAGATCCTTAGAAATCACATTGATCTGTATGTGTGTTTTACATCTGAGGTCACTGAAGTCCAGAAAGTTAAGTGACACACAGTTTAGGGACAGACATTGCAACATCTGACACCTGATAACTAGCTGATAGGCTTTAACCACGAATGAATAGATAGTCATTTAATGTCAACTATATGCAGAGTAAAATGCTAGATTCTATAATAACATTTTAATTTTTGTAGATGTCTTTACTTCTTTGGTAGGACTTTTATATGTACCATCTCAATTAAATCTTATCAAAGTTCTATTGAAATTATCGGTGTAGGTATCAGTCTGTGTATTTTATAGACTGTACAATTGAAGCACCAATGGAAAGGACAGCATGCCCAAGATAACAAAGAAATTCAATGGTATAGTTTGAACAGGGAAGGAATCTTTCTTTTAATTTTATAAAAATCAATCATTGAAAGCAAATTACTTCCTTAAAACACAAATTATTTTTCTACCAATTCTAAACTGTTGATATGAAATTGAAACATAGTCATTTAAACTTTTATTTAATTAAAAATTGCAAGACTTTGTCATCTATTCCAAGTGAGAAAACATCACAGAAAGGCTAATGCTCTCTCGTACATGTCTTTCTCTAGGATTTAGGATTTTTGTTTTTCTTTTTTTTTTTTTCTTTTTTTGAGCCAGGGTCTTGCTCTTCTCACCCTACTGTCCAGGTTGGAGTGCAGAGGCATGATGACAGCTCACTACAGCCTCCACCTCCTGGGCTCAAGCAATCCTCCCACCTCAGCCTGGGTCAACAGGTGCATTCTACCATGCTTGGCTAATTTTTAAAACTTTTAGTAGAGATGAGGTCTCACTATATTACCTGGCTAGTATTGAATTCCTGGCCTTAAGAGTTTCTCCCCCTTCAGCTTCCCAAAGTGCTGGGGTTACAGGCTTGGGCTACTGCACCCAGCCTTTCTCTAGGATTTGCTATCTATTTGATGTCTAACATTGGTATGGGCGGATGAGTAAGTGTCCTTTTAGTTGGAAGGGCAGTGGGAATTTTTCAATTTCACGAGTAGGACGACAGTGACATGCTGTATTTGGGAGGCATATAAGTAAATTTTCCATTTCTTGTCCAAGTAGTATCTCAATTC
Organism: Homo sapiens; assembly: GCF_000001405.40. NCBI lineage: Eukaryota > Metazoa > Chordata > Mammalia > Primates > Hominidae > Homo > Homo sapiens. The sequence goes on along the minus strand of NC_000003.12, from coordinate 89,336,596 downwards.
TCCACCAAAACTGTTCAATGAATTTGAGAATATGAGTGGAGAATGTATAAAATTATTATTTTATAAAGAAACAATCTCTATAAATGTATTTTTCTCTAACAAGCCAATTTTTAAATTTATATCATCAATAAGCAATCTCTCTCCCTTGCAGTAAATCAACTTGTGCTCAATTACCTGTCTGTCTGTCATGTCTTCTTTATCCTTCAAAAAATCATCCTGAGTATTAAAGACTTTAAGGAGCATCTATGTTTGTGTGTGAATGTGTGTGTGTGTTATCTTTGCTTATAGTAGCAAAGACAATGATTGTATATTGAAAACATCTCCTTTCCTTCCTTGAATGTAAAACTAGTGAGTAACAATCTACACATTTCTCTCATTTAAGCATTTTTATAGGCTGAAGGAGGTTGCACATATAAGAGAATAAAAGTAGGAAATAAAAAGTAGATGTATTAATGTGCTTTCTTTCCTTTTGTTAATGAAAATAAGTCCCAGTCAACTTATTAGAGAATACCAAAGAAAAAAGAGATTAGACAAGAAGGGTGGAAAAAAGATTTATCCAGAGACAAATTTTAAAATACAAAGCCCCAGCTATACAGTCAAGGTTGTCTGTAGTGGAGACCAGCTATTAAATCAATACTTAACTAAGGCAGATACACACATATCAAAAAGCTGCTGCCAAAATGACACAATTCTGATTTACGTCTTCCCTCAGGTAATCCAGTAGTAAATGTTCTTGTCAGTCAAACACGTGGAAAAATTATTCATGGATCTTAACCCCAGGATAGCAAAACCAAAGAGTGATTGAATAGTTTAAAATCTTTCAAGTGGAAGCAAATTGCCACCTTTTTATGTGGCTCCAGAGATGCTTTCTCCCATTTTGTAAGAAGATTTTTAAACTAGTTAATTGTGGCAGGAACTCTTATCTTTAACATTATATTGATATATTCAAGTAAGATGATCCATGAGTCTAAGTTGATAACAATTAAAATGGAAGGCAGCACCTTCTCAAGCCTTACTAGATATCATCCTGGATTTGCTACGAATTGTATTTGTTCACATAATGTTTGAATTCATTCCTTCACTTTTATCAAACATGTATCGATTTCCTAAAATGACCTAGACACTTGCTATGATGTGAATGATTGTGTTTCCCTAAAATATATATGTTGAAATCTAATGAACAATATGTTGGTTTTAGGAGGTGGGATCTTGGGGAGGTTTAGATCATGAAGGCAGAGTCCTCATGAATGAGATTAGTGCCCTTATAAAAGAGGTCCCAGAGAACTGCCTTGTCCCTTCTATCATCTGAGGACCCAGCTAGCAGGTGTCACCTATGAACCCGGAAATAAGTCTTCACCAGACACCGAATATGCTGGCCCCTTGATCTTGGACTTCCCAGCCTTCAGAACAGGGAGAAATAAATTTCCATTGTTTATAAACTAACCAGCTTATGGTATTTTGATATAGCAGCCCAAAGAAATGAAAACAACCATTTATTGTGTCTTATAGTAATAAAAGTCAAAATCCCAGCTTTTAAAAAGGAGATCAGTTTCATATCATGGTTATTTTATAAATGGATCTTCTCACCTGAGAATTGGAGTTGCAAGATACGTTTTTATATGTCACTTATATGTTATCTTCACTAAGCAATTTCCTGAAATTTCTTCTTTTTATCCCAATACTTCAAGTTGTCTTCAGCATGTTAGAGGAAAAGCACTGGACTAGGAAGCGGGAAATGGCATGTTTTGATCTAGCTTTTCCTATTAAATAGGTGTTGGCTTAGATTTACTGATCAGGTATCTTCAAACTTTAATGAGGTGTTTGAGACAGTGACTTCCTCTTCTATAAATAACTCTAAGGTTCTACCCTAAGTAATTACGTATTCCCAGATTAGAGCCTGAGCCATACAGAGACAGGAGTTATTTCCTATTCATTTTGTGCACCCTATATCTGGCACACCATCCAGCACCTAGCAGTGAATGAGATGAATTTTTAAAGTGAGTGAATTATTTGCAACCAGTTGTCTTATCAGGACTTCAATTTCCTCATTTAAAAAATGACAGATGTTAACTAAGTTATCTCTAAAGACTCTTCTTAGCCTAGACACTTTAAAATGTTAATACCCTGTATGCCCAAATCTGTAGGATTAGTAACACTTTCTAAGTGGAGATAAAAGAACAAATTAACTTCATGTTCATCACTGCTTTAAGGATTAAAATTAGCCATTGAAATTATAAAATGCCATATGGCAACAGAACAAGGAAATGAAATTCTTTCCTGGCTGAGAACAAATATACTTGAAAAAGAAATGATGGATTTTGCAGTGCTTTCCTCTAGCAGAGTAGTGTATATTCAAAGGGCATATTGGTTTTATAGTCAAATGGACTGAATGATATACATTGACTGCCAAACAAATAATTCCCTGTTATACTTTCATCATAACCAATAACATAATAAAACTATATGTTATGATAGTCATCCCCTTCCCACATTTTACATTGTGAAGAATGTTTGGAAGTTTGTGAATTTTATGGGAATGAATAGACATAAAAATCAAATTTGATAACATCAATCAAAATTATTTCTAATTTTAAAAATATAAGATATTTTCTCTTTTAATGACAAGAAAAATAAGCACAGTATTAAAAAGACAACTGAAAAGAGAGCACATTTGCCTTCTGTTAGTCTGCAGTGAGGTTTTTTATTTTTTTTTTTCTTTTTGAGATGGAGTCTTGCTCTGCTCTGTAACCCAGGCTGGAATTAGCAGCGTGATCTTGGCTTGCTGCAAGCTCTGCCTCCTTGGTTCAAGCAGTTCTCCTATCTCAGCCTCCCAGGTAGCTGGGACTACAGTCGCATGCCACCACACCAACTAATTTTTGTATTTTTAGTAAAGATGGGGTTTCACCATACTGGTCAGGCTGGTCTCGAACTCCTGACCTTAGTGATCTCCCCGCCTCAACCTCCCAAACTTCTGGGATTACAGGCATGAGCCACCCTGCCCAGCCTGCAGTTAGGTTTTATTTACCCTTTTCTTGCTAATCTAGTCTTCAGCTCTTCAAGTTTAAGTGCCGAGTTAGTGACGGCATGCTTGTGCATTATCGAGCAAACACCAAAACTTATTTTAAAAAACACCCAGAATGGGCCACAGTGAAACAAATTAGATAAGGCCTTTGCAAAATGTTAATTTTCTATTAAGAAATACTAAAAATATGAGTAAGATAATAGAAGGAAGCCAAAATAATACCAATTTGTAGTGGATGAATTAGAAATATTTTGGGAACCTGCTGATTTCATATTTATGAAGGGGAAACAATAAAACAGGAACTAAACACTGTGGGCCCATATGGGGGTAAAATAGCAAACTGCCAGCTCTGAAAAATAATATGGAAACAAGTATGAAACAGGGAGTATTATGAGCACTACCTATACAATGAATAATCATTATGGAAGAGCTTCCAGATAGAATCTTGGCCTCATTCCCAAAGCACAAAACACATTTTTGTCACAGTTGTAATTGATGACTTTGAACTATGCTGATACAGGGAATGGGTAAAGTTACCATAGTGAAAGGGAAACAAATGCACTTAGTAAACCATGGTGGCTACTGTTGAAAGAAAGAAGGCAGCCTTTCAATTGCAAAGTGAATTTTGTCTCCGGTTGACTAATGTGGTTGACTTTTAGAAGAAACATGGTCCTAATTAAGGGTTAAAAGGCTCATTTCAATTTGAATTGACTTTAAATTAAAAAAATAAAGCTGTTGGTAAATAGGTCTCTTTTAGTATTCAGACGTTAGCTCCCTCCACACAGGGCTATATTAGCAATTCCCAGCCATAAACACAAACTAATGACTAGAACCAGCACTGACTAAACAGATGATTTCCTGGCCCTGCAATTCCAGGCCTGACAGGGTCTATTTGCCTGTACAAGGTCACAGCAACTGTTTATGCCCAAAATGAGCTGCACTCCACAATGTTACAGGAACTCTATTCTTTGCCATCTGAATAGAGGTACAATGCGTTGAGGCAAGGCCCAGGCATTTCAATACACTGGAAGTGGCTACGTTCAGTCATTAAACTCTGCCTGCAATGTGCAGCATTTACAAAGTGATCAAGTGTTTCCTTCTTCTGTTCCTTCCACTGTTCTATAAAAAAGGCCTAAGGCAAAATGCCACCACACCATTAAACACAGCAAAATCAATCACAATCCAGTATGGCTCAAAGATAGCTTAGTAACAAGGCTTTATTGTGTTTGTTGTTATTGCATCAGATTTAGTAAGACAGGTGCCAGTAACACTAAAATATGTCCAATGTACATTCGCCACAAAGAGAATGTTAAAACAGCTTCTGGTCCTGAGGATGGTGGTGTTTTGCCAGCTTTTTGGCTGTCCACTTTCAAGGAACTGTATGTCCTAAGAGTAGCACTAGTTGGGTTTTCCGTTCTTCATGATCAGTGCTCAGAGAATGAGATCAATTAACAGAATATGCATGTAATGAGCAGACGATTATGTGGGAAGGGCCAGAGCGAGAATGGGATAGAAAGTCTTATTTATGAAGATGTTATTAAGGTGAATGTCAAAATGCATAAAGCTCAACTCTATACTCAGGATATATTAGCAGACAGCCTGGAGAAGCTTTTCAGAATAGTGCTGAAAAGCTTTTCTGAAGTGTTTTGTTTGCTTGTTTGTTTGTTTTGTTAAATATCAGAACAGCATTGGAATGTATAGGAAAACTCCTAGAAAGGAGTTTTGGAGATGCTAAATCACTACTACATCTGAATACTCTTTACTATAAATTAGCATTTCCCAGGCTGATTTGGAATCATAACTAGAACATGAGGTTTGGTTACCAATCAAATATCCACCTTTATAATTTAATTTTAGATGAACAGAATTACCACCATAAATTGAATTTTGGAGTGTCCAATGCCACCCAGAGAAGGAGTCTGAGATAGAAATGATGAAAACCTAGATGCTGTAATTTCTAAAGGATCAATATTGTACATGAATGTAGGAAGAACACTTAGGTCCTAGGTATGTTCATCTACACAAAGTTATATGAGCAACACTATTTATAAAATTGGCAAATTAGAAAAAAAGTGTGATGACCTAAATTAGAAAAGCAGCTAAATAAATTATGCTATGTTCACACATTTTTATAAATAAGTTATGCTATTCTCATACATTTGTATAATGGTATTAGTGTCTCACATGGAAAGATGCTCATAATATTTTTACAGGAAAAAGGCAGGATAAAAATGTATATATAATTTTGTTGTTGTTTGTACTTTCTTATTCATCAAACATTAACTTGATCACTTATTTCATAAACTTAAAAACGAAAAGGTTCTTAGAAGTAAAATTATTGCACATACACAATAAAAAATCAAAATATCTTAGTCAAAGAATATGTGTGTTTGTATAATTTGAGGTTTGGGTGCATGTGCGTGCAGTTATGTACATGTAACGTATGTAAATACATTGCACACTTGCACACTCTATGTGGGGCAAACATCTGCATATCCATATCTGTCTCTCACTCTGTCTACACACACACATACAGATGCACAAACATCCACTCACCACAGTTTTTATTTGTTCTTACTTCCATTTCACTGATCTAAGAGCTTCCTTTTTCTTCTTGCTTTTTTCCCTTCAAAAACATGCAACATGGAGGAAATTTATAATTGACAGAAAATTTTGATAGTCCACTAACATGAATTTTCACACTTTCCAGATTAAGTAATTGCATCCCCACTTGGTAAGATGTATACAGAAGATAGCACTTTTTTAAATCCAGGATTTTAAATGAAAACAGAGCGGAAAATTTAGAGGGATAAACGACAAATTTCTGTGGATGCTGCAAAATACAATGTGCAATTATTTGCTCTCTTAGTTATATTGTTGATTATCCACTCTGCAAATAAAAGATGACAAACTGGAACTTTGAAAAATGGTGACATCATTGCATTTTATTATAAGTCCTTTAAATTGGCTTTACTGTTTAGATAAATTTATTTTAAATTAACATACATTTCTATTCTGAGGAATTAACTCAGCTTTCAAATTCACACCTTAATATTTCATATCATCCTATCAGCTTTCCATCCCACTTTATTTTTCGAAATTTATTACTATGACTTATGTGATAATATTATTGTTAAAAAGCCAATGGATTTAAAAAAAACCTATGATATATAATTTATACATTGGATTTTTATTATCACATAATATTACCAACTAGGAGAAGTTTATCATTTAAAAGTATTCAATATTTGCTTTGAGTGATTTCATGGCAGACAGACATTTATCAGGTAACAGAAAAATAAAGTAAGAGTTAGTGTAATTTTAGGGTCTGTTTTTTATTTATTTTTATGTTTATGGTAAGTATTTGTTCTAAGATGGAAAGGGGGTTTCTACTTAAGGTATCCTGAAATTTATTCCCTAAATAGATAAGAATGGATTTCTCAAGGAAAACATAAACACCATGATAAATAAGTGCTTAGGGGATCAACAAAACTTGACTGAATGAGTTTTTTAAATATCTTAAAAGAATCCTCTTTTTTGAAACTATAAAGACATAAATATTTGTAATTGTATAGAAACATTTATATATTTGATTTTCACATAAAATGAGTTCTATCTTATTTAATAAAAAATATTTTTCTAAGAATAAAAATATTTTTAAAAACTTGCCTCTATAAAGTTTCAGATTTGTATATTCACTGACATTTGTATGTCAGAAACACAAAAATATTCCCCTCTCCCAGTGAAGGTGGGAAGAAACTTCTCAAGCATATGGAACAATCTCATGGGCAGATACCACAGCAATATATAGTAGTATTTAATGGTGTTATGAAAATAAAATATCCCAAAACTTCAAGATGCACTATAACAGGTTTACATTCTTTAAAATGGTTAATTTATAAATATAGAGATAACCATTTTTTTTCTTCACTATGTTATGCTAAAACTTTACTTTCAACTTGGAAGATGAATTGCAATAAAAGGAATACAATGATTAAATCCATTTAAGAGGAAGAAATTCTCTCTTCCTGTCCTTTTAGAGGACAGGAAGAATGGGAGAAAAGATGAGAAAATAGCGTATTGGAAATATTAAGATGGATTGCTTATAGTTGGCAAATATAAAACACTCATAGTATAAATAACTGGGACACATTAGGAATGTGGACCATAAGGAAGAACAATAGAAGAATCTCTGCCATTTTTGTTCACTTTATCTGGAAATGTCACATAACCTCAGACTTGGCCATCTGTATTCAGTGTTGCTACCCTAGAAGTGTGGAGAGGATGGTGGGGGCGGAGCGGGGAGTGGGAAGGAGAAGGAGGAGAGAGAATTGTTGTGTTTGTGTGTGTTAAAATGGACACGCCGAGGGTATGTGTGTATGTTTACATATGAATTTAAACCATCACCCTATTTCTTAGTAGAGATAATTACATATTCCATTAACCCTTTGGAGTTACTTTTTAGAATTTCATTGATTGCCTTGAGATACTCATTCAGGATAATTGTGTCCTTTTTATAACATGCAAAAAAATGAGACCTAAAAAGGTGAGGGATTGGGAAGAGGGTGGGAAAGGGAGTTAGTTCCCTGAGATTGTTACATCTTAGACAGCGGCACACATTTTGTTGCCTTTGAAAACCCAGGCACATTGAACTACAATGTTTACATCACCTTTTCCAGAACGATGTACCTGGAGAGAACAGTTCATACCTACAGGTAATGTAAAAAGCAGCATTTACTGAAACCTACTCCATGCCTAGCATTGCACCTGTGTTTTAATTCCATATTCATAACAATTATGTGAGACTGGTATTATCTCTTTTTCCTGAGGAGAAGGTTAGGGCTTAAAGGTATTAAGTGCATTGGCTGTTTATCCCAAGATTTAAGTGTTGTAAACAGAAATGAAACTTATGTTTGAGGGCTTCCAAGACATAGGTATTCTGTGTTTGCATCCAATTTCTTCTTATTCATGTAAAACTGTAAAAGAACAACTAATGTAGCATTAACATGCAATCCTGCACTGTAAAAATAATGTAACCAATTTAATGGAAGGGTGACTATGAAGATAGAGACATCTTCCAAGGCACACAGGGAAATTGATTACCTTATCTCTTTCCAGTGACTGTTAGTTTCACAGTAGTTTTCTTCAACAATATCTTAGAGGTCTAGTCAAGTGACTGGCTCTGATGCAAAGAAACTTTATTAGGAGTAGAGAATGCTTAATTTATGCAAACCTGCTGAAAAGGTATTTGTGGGCTGAATTATTTTGTGGGGGGATCTGCCTGCTTCCCATGTAATGGACTGTCTACTACATGTTATTAGTCGAAACACGGAACTTTATTGGGTAGAGGGAAAAAATAAAGCATTTTATGTTCCAAAATTAGTGGAGTGTGCTTAACGTCTGACAGAATAAAGTAATAAAGTGAGATTGCATAAATTATTTGAGTTTTTTCTGTTTTTTTCTTTTTTTCTTTTTTTGAGATGGAGTCCCACTCTATCACCCAGGCTGGAGTACCGTGGCATGATCTCGGCTGACTGCAACCTCTGCCTCCCGGGTTTAAGTGATTCTCCTGCCTCAGCCTCCTAAATAGCTGGGATTACAGGTGACAGCCACCATGCGCAGCTTATTTTTGTATTTTTAGTGGAGATGGGGTTCCACCATGTTGGCCAGGCTGGTCTCAAATTTCTCACCTCAAGTGATCCATGCGCCTCAGCCTCCCAAGTTCTTTGAGTTTTGATCAGAAACAGTTTATGGCATTTACAGATATAACGCCCTACTATGTGTCCGTACCATGTATCTGAAAGCAATACAGAGAAAAACAAAACAAACAAACAAAAAAAAAGCACAGTTCTCAAGACTTTCAGGGGTATATTGATGCACTTCAGAAAAGATGCCTAAAAAAACTTTCCATACTGTCCCCCAACTGCACCTACCAATTTGATTATACATTTGGCACAATTAAATAAAGTATTTACAAACCAATAACACTTTTGTCAATTAGAACTGGAAAAACACATCTAATAGTACACCTAACGTGCCCTCAGTATAACACATGATAGAGTCTGTACCACTTTCCTTCTGAGTAAGTCTTGGTTTCTTAGCGCTTACAGTTTATTTGATGATACATAGTGTGGGGATATATCTGAAAAGAAAATTTTTATGACTAGGCAAGTTCATGGAAGTATTCTATAAAATCATTTGAACTCATATTCTAGCAGTCATTTCTAACTGCCTTAACATTTCATCATCTGTGTGTTTACAGGCCAGATAAAAATTTCAACTACCTGAAAATCTTCTTTCTAAAACAGTGTGCTATATTCAGTTGAAAATTGATATATCTTGTAAGGCAATCTTGTCACTCTAAACACTGACAGTATAATCATGTTTTCATAAAACACATGTAGAAAGCACATTCTACATGTGTTTAAAACTCCACTCCTATTATGTTACTGCAGTGTGATAGATAAGGTAAGTGCACTTCATGGGCATCTTTCTTTTATTTACCTTTATTTCTTACCATGTACTAGAATGACTGGCTTATATAAGGCAACCGAAAAACTTTCAGGGAAGAATGGAGGCCTCTTTCATCTCTCCACAGCAATTCTCCATTATCACATGTCCTATGCCCAATTACTTGGTCCAACCAAACACATATATCTTAGTAGGTCTAATTTCCCTTTAAATAATCAGTCTCATGCTATGAATCCATCAAGAAGCTTCCGAATTAAAAAAACAGAAAGAGGATGGACAAATTTGTAAAGATATTTATGTGTTTCATTAGGTGCTAAATACAGAAATGCAGTTGGCCTCTGTATTTATGGGTTCTGCATCTATGGATTCAATCAACCACAGATCAATTTAAAAAAAAAAAACTGGCTAGTCAAGGGCCAGGTGCAGTGGCTCACTCCTGAAATCTTAGCACTTTAGGAGGCTGAGACAGGTGGATCTCTTGAGCTCTGGAGTTCCAGACCAGCCTGGGCAACATGGTGAAACCCCATCTCTACAAAAAATACAAAAATTAGCAGGGTGTGGTGGCACTTGCCTGTAGTCCTAGCTACTCAGGAGGCTGATGTGGGAGGACCACCTGAGACCAGGGGACTCAAGGCTTCAGTGAGTCATGATTGCATTACTGCACTCCAGCCTGGGCAAGAGAGCAAGATCTTGTCTCAAAAAAAAGATGGTTGTACTTGTATTGAACATGTACAGATCTTTTTCTTGCCATTGTTCCCTAAATAATATAGTATAACAACCACTTATTAGCATTTACATTGTATTAGGTATTACAAGTAATCTAGAGATAAAGTATATGGAAGCATGCAATAGGCTATTTGCAAATACAACACTATTATATACAAGGGACTTGAGCATCCATGGATTTTGGTATCCTCAGGGGTCCTGGAACCAATCCTTCATTGATACCAAGGGACAACTCTGTATAATATATGTAATATGTACATAACATATAATAATATATATAATTAATGATCATCATAATCACATTTTAAAACCAGAAAAAAAGGACTTCCCAGTGTCCTATAAGCATTTATTTAAAACAAAATCTTTAATTATATTTTAATTTTGTATTCTTTAATATAATCTTTGGTTATATTAAAGATTTCATTTTTAAAAATTCTTAATATGTATAATATCTTAACTGTATATAAATCTTAATTATATTAAAGAAAATATCACAAAAATAAAGGAAAATATGAGTTACATTTACTAAGGAAACTTTTTTTATTAAATAAAAATTTAAGTTGGCATAGAAAAGAAATGGAGTAAGTGAATTTCCAGTTGAATAATATTTATGGTATGTACAGTGTCTAACCTTTAAAAGAGATCTATCATTTTCTGTGATATGTACAAAGTACTACAGTATTCACATGATATGTAAAAGGAAAAAATAAAGTAGAAGGCAGAGAATTCTAGGGTAAAAGTCTTGAGGCAGGAAAGAACTGGAGAGTAAATGAAAGGTAAAGAAAAAGAGTATAGCTGGAAAAGAAATGATATGAGGGCCTCAGATTAATTTGGTGGCACATGCAGGCCAATTAGGCCATGCCATGTCTTCAGGCTTATATTAAGGTGGCTTGTTTTTCTACATTAAGTGTTATCAGGGGTTATTGAAAGGTTTCACGCATGAGGTACACCATAATCAGATTTACATTTCAAAGAGATTATGCTTGCTTCTATCGGGAAAATGTATTAAACTGAGTCAAGAATGGAACAGATGGGAAACTACTGAAATAATCTAAATAAGAAATCATAAGACATAGGTAGAGAAGTGATTATGGACATAGAAAGAAATGTATTTATTTGAGATACATTATGTAGATGATATGAAGATTTTAGATGATGCAGAGTGCAAAGTGGAAGAGAGTATAAAATAAATCATTCTTCCAAAAAGACACATGAACTCTTATGTTCATCACAATACTATTCTCTATAGAAAGACATGGAATCAACCGAGGTGCCCATCAGTGGTGGATAAATAAAATATAGTACATATACACAGTGGGACACCACGCAACCATAAGAAAGAAGGAAATCATGTCCTTTGCAGCAACATGGATGCAACTGGAGGCCATTATGCGAAGTGAATTAGGCAGGAACAGAAAACCAAATAGTGCACATTCTCACTTATAACTGAGAGCTAAATACTGGGTACTCGCAAATATAAAGATGGCTACAATAGACATTGGGGACCAATGGCAAGGAAAGAGGGAGGTGGGTAAGGGTTTAAAAATTAAGTGGGTATTATGCTCACTATCTTGGTGATGGGATCATTCATATCCGAAATCTCAGCATCACACAATATAGCCATATAACAAACCTGAACATGTATGCTCTGAATCTAAAATAAAACTTGAAATTATAAAAAAATAGGATGACATCTAAAAGTTGGTAATTATGTGTAGTGATAGATATGTTTTTGTAATCATTTCACAGTGTGTATGTATAAGAAATTGTCACATTGTATACCTTAAATATATGTAATTTTTGCCAATGATATAGCAATAGAAGTAGAAAAAATAAATCTGGATAAACTAGTTAAAAAAAATAAAAAATAAAAAAAATAAAAAAATAAACTAGCTGGGAGCTGTGGGTCATGTCTTTAATCCCAGCACAAGCGTGAGCCACAGCGCCTGGAGGCCTAGGCAGGTGGATCACTTGAGTTCAGGAGGATGAGACCAGCCTGGCCAACATGGGGAAACCTCGTCTCTACTAAAAATACAAAAAAAAATAGCACGGCATGTTTGCACACATCTGTAATCCCAGCTACTTGGGAGGCTGAAGCATGAGAATCGCTTCAACCTGGGAAGTGGAGGTTGCGGTGAGCCAAGATTGCATCACTGTACTCCAGCCTGGGTGACAGAGTGAGATGTTGTCTCAAAAATTAAAAAAAAAAAAAAAAAAAAAAAGACTGACATCTAAAGTTCCACATTGAGCAGTTGGGAACTATTCCTATTTTTTGAGTTACAGAAGGAATGGCTATATGAGCAAAGGCACAGGAGTTATAATTTGGATGTGTTACATTGAGTTAGCCAATAGGAAATGCCAAGTTAGCATTTGCTGTAGTAAATCGTGTGGTATTTATAGTATTTGTACTGCAAAAAAAAATGGATTCCAATATTTTCATGTTATGAAAAATGCCACATTTAGTTTTCTTTGTCACATAGGCTTCTGTTTATTGACACTAAATGAAGTTGGTTAGCAAAAATATGGATTTCTAGAGAAGCCAAAGTGATCTAGAAATACATAATTTCTATGTAAAAATAATTCAATAAAATATTGCTGGAGAAATCTTTCACGTTACTGATACGTAAGAAAAATAAACTATCTTTACTGAGTTGAGCGATTCATTGTCTTAGAATATAGTACTTATTAAACCAGAATACTGGTTTTGATTTCTTTATGAACCAGATACTTGTCTTCAAAAATAGAAAGCCTGTGTTTTAAGAACTCCAATATAAGCTTTTTGTTGTTGTTGGCTAATAAATACTATTTATAACAAAATAGAAAAGAAAAAATTATGATCATACCAACAAAAATCATGTCATGACTATTGGACCAACAATTTAAAGTGCATCCTCAATGCTGGTAAATCAATAGGAGATATTATTTTGATCTGCACATTTTAATTGTTAAGAGCCCAGGTTCAGAATGCTCAGGTTCAAATCTTGGCTCTGCCAGTTACTATATATGTAACTGAACAAGTTACAAAGCCTCCTCACGCTTTAGTTTGTCTGTAAAATGGGGATAGTGAAAACTTTATAATAGGATTTTGTAGGAATTACATGTGAGTATAAATATTCTCTAATACACATTAGCATATTAGAAATTAGTAAGTATTGACACACATTTATATAAATAAATGCTTACATATTGTGTATAAACATTTTTAAAATCTGCAACATAGGTAGATGTGTCAATATATTTAAGCAATATTAAACCACATTTGCCTTTACTTAGTCTTCTACTTTTGGAGATGTATTGGACATTTGCTTTTTCTTGGAATATTATACCAACATCCTTTTCTGTTAAAATTATACTTTTTAAATATAATTCACAAAGATATATCACAAAAGAGCACCTTCTTTTCCAAGTATGTTATTAATAGATATATGGCAAGTCCTTTGCCACACCCTACTTTATGAGCCTAGAGATTTCCATAGATAAACTATGTCTAGATAACTTAACAAATTAGACAAGTCAAAGCAATTTTTGCTTTTGGTTCTTGGTGTATATGCCAGGCCATCTGATCACATATATCTAATACGTTTACCATGCTCTGAAATCTTTGTACTTGCTGGTAAAAGCACCAAAGCTGAATGGATCTCCTCAGGGGTAATTGAAATGATTACCTTTGACTTTGTAGCTCAAAGCTGCTTTGCTTTTTTATATAGGTACACTCTTCCCACTCCCAATACTGGCAATTATAAATTTTTATTTCTTAGGCTGCCACATGCACTAGCAAACACTTCCAAACCTGGCTGCCTTCCCTCTACATCTCGTCCTCACTTTTGGAAGGAGCCTTCATTTACATAGTTTCCAAACATGTATGACTTTCAAATACTTTAGTTTTCCCAGTCTTTTTTCTCAGTAAGTACAGTACCATCGCTAAGGTGATACTAATCCTCTCAACTTTCAGCCACTTGTCCAAATTTATATCATGTTGACACTGACCAATGTCTCCTCTGTCTCATAGTTTTTCTAGCAGTTAATGAGAAGTCAAAGGTTAGAGCTATTAGTCCAAATCCTAGGGCATAAGTATCCAGATTATAAAAACCACATTCACATATGGCAATAATTGGCAGGCTCTTTTAGGTGATCATAGCATTATTTCCAAAGACTCAATGGATACTTGAATAATTCCATGGTGCCAAATAGGAAACTCTCTTGAATGCGATAAGTATATACTGTTTTCTCTCTCTCTCTCTCTCCAACCCCCCTCTGTGTGTGTGTGTGTGTTTGTGTGTGTGTGCAGTTACTATTTTTCCATGGATTTTTCCACTGAAGTAGACTCATTTGAATAATCTGTACCAGAATTCACACAATTCTACCAAACTTCTAAAGTTAACTTTATACCAAATGCAAGCTCAGAAATAAGATAATTCATTTCCATGCTGCATAAGGTATTATAGAATTAAAGTAATGGAAGACAACATCTTTATACATCTAAATACCATGATACTAGAAGCAGCAGCTCAGTTTTGTAAATGACTTTTTATCAAGAAGCTTAATGCTATTTATAGAATGTTATTTTAACCAAATTTTCTTTTTCTTGTTATTCTTCAAAAGTAATACAACATTCAATCTGTTGCTATTAAGGCATTTATTAAATTCATATTTTAGGATTCAATTTTATATACAGTACCTTTATTTATAATTCTAAATATGCTCTTTTGTCCCCACTGGTTTATAAGGCTCTGCCATGCTCCTTTCAGTTTCTTTCCAACCTTTTTCTATTTGCTCGCACTTGGTAATAAGTTAAACATTTCTTAGACTCACAAGTAATCAGCAAATGAGAAGGAGAATATTGTGGTGCTTCTAAAGGAATAGCAGACATTTAAAGGAAGTGCTGTACCCAAGGTATTTCAGAACTGACTTAATGGAGTGGTATCAGAACATTTCTTAGAGCAGAAGTTATTTTAAATGAGCTTGAAGTATATAGGCACAGCTTCCTTATTGAATGGCATTTTTCATGTAGGAAAAGGAATAGCTTCAGACTAGGAGGCAGCAGATCTGTATATTACTTCTGATCGGCACTGTTTAGCTGGCTAGTGTCTTACATTAAGAACTAGTCCCAGATCTCAAAGCCAATGGATGGTGGAGAAGGACTTGCCAAAAGACCTTCCTTCTTCAACTCACATGCTGCTTCCATTATGCTCGCAGCATAGAACCTTAAAAAAAAGCTAACAAATTGTTCCTGGGTCAGTTTAACAAGGGATGCATGTACTTTTGACTATATTTTACTCCGCATACATGTGTGAATATACTGAAAACCAGGAACAGTGTCATACAACAAGCCAGTGGTGTGAACTTTGTTATAGAGAGAGAGAAAAAAAAAGGCAGTCTCTCATAAAATATACATAGCCCATCATTTCTTCCTCTATCACCTACTATACACACAGGAGTGACTTTTCAGTAGCCAAGATGATATTGATTCTGTCTTAGGAATCTTCTCAATTTCACATTACAGAGGAATACACAGCAACTACTGAGAGAGATAGATCATTACATACTCATCACATGAATAGGGTAATTTTGGTGAATAGTAACATTTTGAATATTTCAGTAACAATTTTTCAGGAGTTATAAAAGACTTTCAAATATTTTTGTGGTGTTTTACATCTACATTCATTGCTGGCAATCTAATATCTAATTTTTGTTAATCAAGATCCTAAATAGGCATATAATTAAGTGTAAACAAAGATTTAAAAAATCTTGCCATGTAGCCTCATGGCTTAAAAAAAAAGTCCATGGGATTGTTTCATTTAAAATCTCATATCCTAGAGTAAATAGAGTTCTTCATCTATTTAGCACTCATCTCCCAGGATTAGAAGATGACACAAGATGGCTCAATGATTACATTGGAGAATATGTTTCCCCTAAAGCGAAGATAATATCCCTGTAGTCACCTTTAGTTTCTTATCTCAAGTTCCTCTTGCATTTGCTGAATTCTATTCCTCTGTGTCAACTGTAACTTGAAAATTAAACACCTTTGGGACACTAGAGAATAGCACGAGATGAACACTATTCTGACCCAGCTGGAGGCCACTGAAATGCTGCTGCACCAGAGGAAGTGAAAGGCTTGGGTGTCATGGAAGATAACTGTAGGAGCTGGCACTTACATGTGGTTTCCCCCATTATTTTATTATTTTCTTTTTGAATTCTTTGTTCTTGCAAGTATGTATATCTTTCTTCTATATATTACTAGTAAGACTAGTTTTGACTAGCAATGACTAAAGAATAAGTCATTCTTCTTAGAATTATGCTATTTTTTTCAATATCAGAAATTGTCTTGTGCTCAGAATTGTGAACATTCTGAAAAAACTCATGCTTAAATACATACTTGTTTTGCCTGTAGGTACCTGTAAGGCATTTATAAATACCACTTTGTTCTGTTATTGTATATAGCATTATATAAAATATATACCATTACTTATTAAAAACAAGCCCACGAGTTTTAAAAGTTTCCAGATTAGTTATAGAAAGCACATTAAGATCAAGCTGTTACACCATGAGCCTCTACTGAAAACCACTAATAATTTTTAATTATAGGGAATTCACATAATAGCTTAGAAATTAAAAGAGAGAGGAGCTATTTTAACATTTTATGGCATCAGTTTAGGTCATCTGAGGCCCCCAGTTTTTGCACAAACGATAAAAGGCTCTCTCCTGACAGAATAAATTGAGCCATAAGAGAGGGCCCTTCCTCTAGATAGGGTTTTGATGGGTATAGTCATTGTGCTGAGCTTCTATGAGCTTCAGTTTTTTCACCACTCTTTCTGGCTCTCTGGTGACTACGCAGCTCTCCTGTTTGTAATATTAACATCTGTGCATGCTTCTATTTTAGTATAGTGTATTGTCATTAGCTCTCTTCGGGGCTTTGGCCCTATTACACTGTAAATTCAGTGAGAAGAATTATGTCCTATATATCCTTGTGTATCGGATATCCTAATACTGCCTAATACAAAATTGGTAATTATTATTCATTGACACAAATAAACTTCATGCATACATACATGCATACATGTGTGGGGCATTGGTGTGCACTGATAATACTCAGTATACATGTCATGGCATGATATAAGTCTCTGCTCCTACTTCTCTTCTCCCTCCTCTCTCTTACTCTCAATCTTTCTCCCCAGAAGTTATTAGGTTCTATAGTAGAAAAGAAAGGAGTAAAAGAAGAAAATGGCATTTAGACCAGAATATCAGAAAATTGCTTACATTTTGGAACCTGGAGAAAAGATAAGTGATACTGGCAAGGAGATTCAGAAAATGACAAATGGTGAATACTGATAGTAGAGATCAATGATTTCATCAAAAGCATAACTAAGAGCAAAATATTCTGAATAACATATGGTAAGTAAGAAAACCAAGGAAATGTGGATTTGAGCAATCATTCTTTGAGCCTACAGAACATCAATATTTGCACTCCTCTGGGGAAGGATGTGTGTGTGTTCTGATTTCACAAAATTGTTTAAATGTAACTAACACAGTATTTGTGTCAAGTATTACACATTTTCAAATACAGACAGTATAAGAAAACTCATAACTAATATCAAGTCTTGTGATTTACTCTACCATTCTTTAGAGATGTCATTATTGTATTTTTATACGTGGTCAATAGATTATGCTTAGCATCTCCATAAGCAAAAGTTCTACAATTAGGTTTCTGCTGAATGTAAGCATGTGTTTGGAAATGAAATGCATTTAAACATGGGTACCATCAACATAACCTTTCTGTATCAAGCTGGCCGGCCGTCTGACCATTTACTGCAAACTTTGATACTTTATTGGATTATTATGTGCAAATGATTGAGGGCCAGGATACCGGAAAGATTTTTAGGAGAAGTCAAATCATTCAACAGAAAATAGTCTGAAATGAAAAGAATTTGAAAGTAGCCAGGACAACCAAGAAATACAAACTATCATCATACCCCCATGCCCCACACCCAAAATATCAAATCAAAGGATGAAAAAATTGCTCAGAAAATGAACTTCCTTGATAGCTGTTAATAAAGTACAAATTATACCTTGACATTTTGTCTCAGGAAAAAGACAGTAAGTTTTCTTTTCACTGCAGAAAGCATACTTTCCATTCATCAACAATATGGCTTTCTAAAATATCTCTTCAAGTTATTATGGTCTTTTATGACCAGAACTGATTGTAAAATATGATGTTACAAAAATCAATAATAAAATATTCATATGATCCAAGGTTTTTCCAAATTGAATCTGACTGGGTCATGGAAGTATGCTGATGTCTGGAACGCATGTAATATGCTGCTATATTATTGATGCCTGTCAAATAACGGAAATTGTTACAAATTAATTCATTCCTAACCTAATTAACCCCGTGTGCAATATTATATATATTCCAGACAAGTACTATTTTTCTCTGGCTATAAAATGAGAAAAGACAATATTTTAACTTATCAAATCTCTTTTTAAGCCACTTAGAAACCTCAAAGACTATTGCTTATGTAGAAGTGATACAAAAGAATGCATTACCTCATTTCTTTGAATTATTTTTGATCTAATACAAAATGTTCTCTTTCTAACTTTTTTATTGTAAAAATATTCCATAAAAGTGTCTAGGCTAACTTTTATATATTGAATGGATAGAATATATTAATATAAATATATTGCATTACTTTTTAAAATGTGTACATTTGGGGCAGGAAATGAGGAAGGTTTAACATTTCTTTGATGTTATACTGCAAAAATGATTATTTGTTTTTTACCTACAATATATCATAGGTCTAACTTTTCAGGTCAATATATGGCAAGATACAGCTTATCATGGTATAGATAGAGATTAAGACTGGCCTTAATGGAATCAGGGAGTATGTTGTGAGTTCATTTTATAATATTTTGCTACTTTGCTTTATCCCTCTATTTACACATATCCCTCTCCACCCCCATTTGCCAGTAATGTCATGCTCTTCCTATTGGCAGTGCAGGGCCAGATTTAAACACATCCAGATCTGAAATTTTCCTGTGCTCCAGATCTATCTTGCATCTGCTCCACATCAATAGGAAAAGTCCTGTTGTCTTTCTTCCTGCTAGCTGATAAACCTAGTGAGTTTATCAGTAAACAATAAAAGAAATGACAAACCAAGAGAAAAATCTAATTGTTGAGATGTTTTGAACTATTTTAATCTGATTTTCTATAACCATCATTTGATATCATGTTGCAACATTTTTCCTTTAATTATGGCCAAAAATTTCTATTTGTCTAATTATAGAATAATTTAACGTTTGGTTAAGTAGATTTTAAAAAGGAGGGCAGCCTTGAGTGGCAGTAGGATGGATATGGTACGGTAAGTTGGATCTCAGGGAGCATCAGAGTTTGGACACTTTCTAAGTGATCTTAGAAAGGTTATTCAGCCTCTCTGAACTTATTTTCATATATTTATACTGAGTACAAAAATATCTCCCTCAAAGAGTGGTTGTGAACATTGAAATGACCATTCATAAAGTGTCTGATACAAAGGAGGTACTTACTAAAAGAAAGATTTTGCCATTACACAACAGTTATATTTCACAACTGATACTTCCGTGCAAATCTTAACAATGCCTATTTTCAAAGGCATTGTTTTAACATAAGGTAACTCTCCAGTATGTTAGAAATCTAAGAATTTCATTTTCCATAAGAGAGCATTAAGTATCACCAAAGAGAAAACTGTAGCATATTTAAAAGAGAACTTTTCCTCCTGCTTTCAAAATCTACAACAGTAAAAGAGAAGTGCTTTGTGATTAATCTCCTTTTTAGGGCATAGGAAAAAGGTATATACCCTTTTCTATATATATATATATATATATATATATATATATATTACACACACACACACACACACACACACATATATATACAGTGTATACTCTGAAAGACCTCTGTATTGTACCAGATGTTGTCAAAATGCGTTAGTGAAACGTCATATCTGATAGAAACTAATGCGCAGTGATGCCCCACTGATTGGAATGTCATTGATGCTGTGGCCTGTTGTTTTTGACACCACAGAAGAGGATCAAAGCATCTTTCATGGTGATAAAGCTGGCAATATGGATGGGAAATAGTGCCAGAGAGACTGATTAAGTGTTAACATTCCCACCTGGTGCCATGAAAATAGCACACAACATTTATAATTCAGGGTGATTTTCTCCTCCTGTGCCTACTTTCGTGCCAGCTATAGTATTTGAAACAGCACTGATGAACGCTTTCTTTTTCATATTCTGTCCCAGGCAAGCTGTGGGTTATGGCAACTTATTTTTTGCGTTATTTTTTCAAGGAGTGCCTTTTACATTTATATTAAGTATTTAAAAAGGCATTTCAAGTGGACCTTTTTATGATTCATCCATTCTCCCTGACTCTACATGTGGGTCACCACACTCAGGCTGTCCCTTGACTGATAAGTACCTCAGGGAACAGATTTTTCTTATAATACTTTAGAGATGATTCAGGGGATCCAGGTCCTAACTTTCCATTCTCAAGGAATAATGTCAACTAAATTTGACATTCTGAAATAAGAATAAATCCCTTTTCTGAAACCATGCATCATCTATCACAATTAGACTTACTGGCACCTATAATTTTAGCATTGTTGCTTTTTCTCCATGAAACTAACTGCAAGGCAAATCCAGCATGAGGCCTGAAGAAAAAGAACCCTTTCAGAACTGCTAAGCTGAGATGGTTAAGTGGACAAGATTGCTTTTTTTTTTTTTTTATTAAAAAGGAAATTTCTCTTCACAGATTTCAAGCATCCTAAATCAAAAGGGATAGTGATATTTATTTAGCTTTAGGGAAGATTCTCCTAAAAAATGATTAAATGTGATTTTTAAGCCAAATCAATGGTAACACATTTGTATGAATCGCTATCATCCACAGGACAAAAAGAGCTTTCATTAATCCCTGAAGGTGCCCTGAAGTGTTCATGTTCCCTGAGCTCTGAACTGTAGCACTTACACCACGTCTCATCACATACTATAGTTGATTCAGAAACAAACCGTGCTCCTTAACTGCTGTTCTATTCACCTTCATCTTTGTAGGCATACACTGTCATTATAAGATATTATATTTTAACAAATGGAATAAGTATTTTGCATACACACATTCACACACATTGTATACACACAAACCATATATATAAAAAATATATATGACATATATGTAATATATACAGTCACATACCACATAACAATGTTTCAGTCAATGATGGACAGCGTGCATGACAGTGGACCCATAAGATTATAATGCCATATTTTTACTATACCTTTTCTATGTTTAGATATGTTTAGATACACAATACCAGTGTGTTATTATTTCCTTAACACTAATCAGTGCCATAACATGCTGTACAGATTTGTAGCCTAGGAGCAAAAGGCTACACCATAAAGCCAAAGTATGTGGTAAGCTATACTATCTAGGTTTGTGTAAGTACATTCTATGATATTTGCACAACGACAAAATCACCCAGGGATGCATTTCTTAGAATGTACTCCCGTTGTTAAGTAACGCATAACTGCATATATATTTTTTTCAAATAATTTCCATCAGGGAATAATTTGCTGAGTGTACCCAAATGATGTCATGATGTAACAGGTATTTCTATTACTAATTTGTAAGATTTTAGCCAGGCTTTATGGTCCATTTGAAATCACTGTGTTTAGATTTTGTAGGCTGCCATCTAGGTGCCAGATAGCTGAATGCATCTTATGTTACTGATGAGGTCATCATGAAGCAGCATGCTGAGAACAGCAGGACTGTCACCAGGCTCTGGAAATGAGGCAGTCATGTAAGTGTGTCTTCATTTGTATTCTTTCATAATTTATTTGCATGAGCTTTCACTCTTTATAATCAGGGTGCTTTGGATCTTTGATTAATACAGT
Organism: Homo sapiens; assembly: GCF_000001405.40. NCBI lineage: Eukaryota > Metazoa > Chordata > Mammalia > Primates > Hominidae > Homo > Homo sapiens. The sequence continues at coordinate 89,314,455 of NC_000003.12, read as the reverse complement.
ATAGATTGCTTTGTATCACATTAGCATTGATTCCCACACTATTAAAGATCTTTGTTTGAAAAAAAAATCTTATTTGCCCCCATGTGATCCTCATAATTTATATAAAAAAGTTAGTCACATACCTCTAACATCACTATGAGAAGAAACAAAACCTAAAATACTGATCAGAAACTTTAGAAAATAGAAAAGTAGCTTTTATATAGGGGCAAACATTAATTTGACCTTGTGCTGATTATTTTATGGTGAAGATAGCAACTAAATTTGACAAAATTTGAAATTTGACTATATGATTTGAGATAGTGAAATTGACCTCTCAAAACATATTTGACTTCTGTGAAAAATTCCATGATAGCAGCTACCTCAAATATAACCAAATGGACAAGGGCATGTTGAGATGCCTAGTCAAATGAAAAGTATTACACAACATTAATTCTTCATGTGTGTGTGTACATACAGCATCAAATTAATATTAAAATTAACTTACTTCTAAGTTATTCCCACTAAAAAAATCAAATTTTAAATTCTTAAAAGAATAGTTTACTTTATAAAAAATATATACCTGCCATGATAACAAGAGAATATTTCTTTTTATTTTACTGCTGACAGTTTTAAACAACAATATGTAGTACTTAGAGGCTGGAATGACAGGTGTAATGGGGAAGTGATAATTTTTGCTTTTATTCACTTTTTGTTACCATTCACTAATATATCTCTTTTCAAATTGTTTAAAAGTCACATGACTACTTTAAAGTAAACATAAGACTGTATATTTGGCTTTATAAAATATATGATATAATACATATGGAAACAACAGCATGGAACCTACAGAGGACATAGACTTATGAAAATTTCCTATATTTAACCAGAAGTAATTTAGTGCCCACTTGAAGTATATTGTAATAAGTTACAGATAAACATTGAAATCACTAGAGAAAATATGAACAGATAATGCAAGAAGGTCAATGGAGGATTGAAAATTACATATTTACTAATCATTTTGTTAAACTAACAGTGTAACAAAAACAAAAGATTAAAGGAAAAACAGAAGAACGAAACATCATTGAGAGAAGCAGAAAACAAATAGCAAATGGCAAACCTAAAGCCAAATGTACTGTTTAAATTAAATGTGAGGGAATGAAACTTTTCAAACATATAGCAGAATTTGTCAGATTAAATTTAAAAATCAAGATCCAATTATATGCTATCTGTAAGAAATGATAGATACTTTAAATTTAGAAACAAAAATAATTTGAAAGTGGAAAGATTAAAGAAGATTACTATGCATATTGTAAAATAAAATAATTGGCATAACTCTATTATTGCACAAAACGGATTCAAGGAAAATAATAATATCTGGGTATATACCCAAAGGAATACAAATAATATTATTATAAAGACACATGCACACATACGTTCACTGCAACACAATTCACAATAGCAAAGACCCGGAATCAACCTAAATGCCCATTAATTACAGACCAGATAAAGAAGATGTGGTACATATATACCAGGGAATATTATGCAGCCATAAAAAATAACAAGATTATGTCCTTTACAGGGACATGGAGGGAACTGGAAGCCATTATCCTCAGCAAACGAACACAGGAACAGAAAACCAAACACCGCATATTCTCACTTATAAGTGGGAGCTGAATGATGAGAAGGTATGGACACATGGTGAGGAACCACACACACTGGGGCCTTCTGGAGCATGGTAGGTGGGAGGAGGGAGGGCATCAGAAAAAATAACTAATGGATATTAGGGTTAATACCTGGGTGATGAAATAATCTGTTCAACAAACTCCCATGATAGAAGTTTACTTATGTAACAAACCTGCACATGTATCCTTGAACTTAAAATAAAAATTGAAAAGAAAAGAAACTATAACGGGTATAATGAAAATATCAATATAATAAGAAAAAATAATACTTATAAATATATCAAGCTAAAAACGGAAAAAACTGAGGCAAAATGCACACAATTTAAAGAAGAAAGATAAGATCAGAAAGGAATAATTAAAACTGTCTTTATTTCATAAACCATGACTGTGTATGTAGAAAATCTTAATAAATCTACAAAAAAAAAAAACCAGAATTGCGTAACTGCGAATGAACTCTCACATTTTAAGCTTTCTCTAAAAAACGTCTTCCCCAACTTCAGAGTTTTCTTGAAATGCATGGAATTAATAAATAAAAATCAAAGACAAACATTATTATAATCTTTAAGTGCACTAAGTCCTTCAGCAATATTGTTTACATTACATTTTGATTATATTATTATCAGAGGTTATAAATATATGTGACCAAAAGTCCTGAAAGAAGTGAAACCAGGAAATACATAGGGAGTAATGTGCTGACCATAGAAAACTGAGGTGCAAAGATTTGATAAACTATATAGGTTCTATACTTCTACCTCTATGTCTTTTATTTGTTATTTAATTTTCTTTAAGGATTTTGTTTTTGTTTTCTGTGCCCCTCTTTTCTCACCTTTTCAACAAAATCATACCTACTTGTGTCATCCTCAAAGCCACTCTTCAATATTCTTGGCCATTTCACATTGGACAACAAATCCCAGGATATTATTCAGACATTAAATACAAAATATTCCAAGTTATATTGCCAGCTCCGAAGTGTTGAAAATACAAGTGTCTGTGCCAAGGAAACATACGCTTGAGGTCAAAGAGTCCCTTGGAAGTTTTAATGATGTAGACACTCAATAAACAATTCCAGAGCTGGCATTTGCTGAAGAAAGACAATCCCTATTCACTAAGCCAGAATAATAAACATGAATTTTAAGAGACAGTTGATGGCTTGGACCATGAATCTTCTAAATCCATTGGGTCCTTTGGCTAGCACTGGAGAGAATGTTAAACTTGAGCATGTCTCAAAATTCTGAAAATATCTTGACTCAATTATGATTATAATTTATTTCTTTCCAGGCTAAGTACATGATATATATGGAAACAAAATGCAGAATTTTAAAATCCTCCTCTGTTACTCAAATCACACCACCACCTTTTGTCCCTATTTTAGGCACCAAAGTTTGCATGGTTTCACTTAGATTGTTGGTTGAAATAGTAAATGTCAAAAGCAAGAACAAAGAAATTGTAATATTCACCAAAAAGTCCATTTCTTCAAAATGTCAGCACTCTTTTATCAAGTTTCATAGTTAGGAGAACAAAGGGAAATGTGTTGACGTTAAATGCTTTCATTTTATATTTCTTCTCTTTGTAATCCATAATCTGAAATGCATTTTATTTAATTTTATAACATAGGGAGGGGCATCATATATGTATACACTTTTTGTCCTTAAAATAATTTCTTAAATAATAACTGCAACCATTTGTAAAATGCTTACTGTTTGCCAGGTATCGCTCCAGCATTTTATTTAATCTTCATTACAGACCTTTATAGCAGTACCACTATGAACACTATTATACAGATAAGAAAACCAAATAGCAGAAAGGTGGAGTAACTAGTTAGGAAATGGCAGAGTCAGGATAAGAACCTAGGCATTTTGGCTTCAAAGACTGTGCAACAAATCACTGTGCTTCAAAAAAATACAGGCTAAGACAGCTTCAGAAGACTAAAATTTGCTTTTTTACTATTGCTGATACTTCATATATTTGTCATAAAACATCCGCATTCCAATTAAATTATCTAGCTCTTATAGTTAAACAGATGACAAGTCATGAGGTGATGAATTATCAGGGAATTCACTTTGTTTATTGACCTTTAGGAGTTTACTTCTAATTAATATATATTATGAATATCTATATAGACATCTATATAGAGTATCTATTAAATTGCATGGTATATATAATATCTATATTCTGTTAGACTTACTTAACAGACTGTGTCCCTGTTTTTTGGAGAGGTGAATAGGTAAGGTATTTGGAGGATGTAAGACCCAGGCTATGAAAAAATGTAAAAACTAAGTATACAATAAGAAAGGAAGGGGTTAACATAATTTAAATTAGACTTCATCTCCTAAATCAAAGTGCTTTTCAGTTAACCTACTTATCATTGAGAAGATATACCCCAAAAATTCGTATCAATACTAACTTTAAAAAAAATTAATGAATTTTCCAAAGCAGTCTGACATTATTCTGTGCATTATAAGGATAATTGTGATAAGGTCTTCAATTTCTATTTTTCCTTTAAAGCTATTATATTGTATCTTTTTCCTATCCCTTACAATTAGTACTCACATGGACTATTATGCTTTTTACTCACTTGCCTTTTACTTTTATATGTCTGCTTTATATATAAAGAACCCTGGCCTGAACTGCTCAAAGGGCTATACAGGTACCAGCTCATTAAAAACTCTGCTGAGAGAAGTCAGTGAACATTTTAACAATTGTACTGTTTTCTATAGAGAACAGAGAGTTTAAAGGCATGTGGAGCTCACCCTGTGAGTTTTCCATCAGAGACCTGACTTGGTATAAGAATCTTAATTCTGAGGTGATGCATTTAGTTTGCTTCCAAGTTTTAATTCACAAGATTTGTAACTTGTAGTAATAAAAACCACAGGATATGAGAATGGCATTATGAAATGGAATGTTTGTGTGTGGGGGGTGGGGGGTGGCATTTTATTGTGAAAAGAGAAGAAAGAAGGAATGGGCCCAAAGATCTCTTAAGGTCTTCTTTAAATTTGTATTTAATTATTTACTAAAAACATTTTTTTCTTGAATGTTTAGAAATTCGACATATTACTATTGACCTAGGGAACATAGGTTTGGCCTGAAACCAAAAATATTTCTATTTGAAGCCTATCAAATAAATGAATTAGAATAATAATAACAACAGTAAAGTAGATTAATCTAGCTACGCTTAGTGCTCTGGTGCCCCAATATGGGATAGGCTAGTAAAAGTACTGTTAGATGTGAGCGTGTGTGCCTGTGTGGGTACATGGCAGGAAGTTGAAAGTGCAAGGCAGAAATAATAGAACATCTCATGACTTTGAGAGGCTAAAACTCAGAATTATTCCTTCCCTCTCCCATACCCTCTCTACTTCTCACATGTTAGACACCATAAAAGGTGATGTCTCTCACATTTGTTAATCTCTTTTCCAGAGGTTTCTAAATAGGCTCAAGATACAACTTTCCTAAACGAAGCAAACAAAACAATATTCTCTCCTATTCCCCTTCTCCGTATCAAAATGCTGATGTAACAATTAAGTTTTCGTCTTGAAAATATTTGTGGAAAGAGTATCCTATTCTTTCTCTTTCTACTTTCTTATACCCATTCATTCTCTAACTCCTACCAATTCAATGAAACCATTTGGATACTGTCAAAAATAATCTCCCAGTTGCTAAATCCAAAGGCTCTTTTTCTTCACTCAGCCTACTTGATCTGCTGTGCAACATTTGATACTTTCACTACTTTCTTCATCTTTAAAGCTTTCCTAATCCTGGCTTCTAAGACACCACTCTCTCATTTTACTGTCCAACTTCTAGAACACTTCTCAGAATCTTCCTCTGTTTGCCTCCCAGATGCTGTAGTTAGGAAGAAGTGATCAATCATAATGGAAAAGTAGTCTAAGAAAAGACTGAATATCTTCCTGAATCCATTGCCTTTGTCATCTAATCCATTTTATATATGCATTCAGTATGAATCTTCTTCGTTAATTCAATGTTATCTACAAAAGATTACCGAGTTTCATTAAAATTGTTATTCCCAGATTCCTTTACACAAACCTTTCCACTATTTCAAAATCTCAACACCCCACTTATACTGACTATAACCAACTATAACCCAGGTGAGGATTTATAATGTTTGCTGAGTTGAATGTCATTTCTCTACTCAAAATCTGTAGTTGCAAATTATTGGAAAACTAAAAAAAAAAAAAAATTCCCTTGGCTGTAGTCCATAAATAATGTGTCCCCTTTTTAGTTGTTTCTACCTAACTTGTGCAAGCAGAATTCTTAGCATAACCGTCACTTCAGCATAATCAGCTGCTTCCTATGCCAGGGTTCCTGATGTTCTTCTTGCACTCCTGCCTCTACCACCCACCCACACACTATTATAGCCAGCTTCCCTTTTTAATTTCTTGTTATGTTTTCATCTCTGATGGTCCCAGTTGACCTTGCTAACCCTTCTCAAACTATTTTGCTCTTATCTTTGTGTTATTTTACATGTATTAATTAATGTCATATAATCAAACTGTTTGTATCATGCAACTTAGCTTTACTTATACACAGTTATGTACTACTTTTCATGTGTAGGATTTTTTCGTACTCTTCTACAGTTTGTTCTTTGAAAAGGGAGACTTAATACCATTTTATCCTTCTTTTAAATATTTCACACAACTTATCACAAAGCCAAGTATATAATGCACACTCAACCATTACTTAATGGTTGCTTAATTGGCAAAGAACATTAAAAAATCACCAAGACCTCATTAGATGATTCAGGCAATCACTATGCGTTTAATGATTACACTCTAAAGAGTCAATTTTCAATAGCAATAATTTCTAGATGCTATCGTAAATCACAACTGTCAGCTACATTTTATTCCACTTATATGGTTAAACTTACCATATTAAACCAAACTTTGGAAGTACATGGAAAAAAGGTAAACAATCCAAAAGAGATGATCTAGGCCTGGAACAGTGACTCATGTCTGTAATCCAAGCACTTTGGGAGGCCCAGGTGGGCAGATCATTCGAGCCCAGGAGTTCAAGACCAACCTGGGCAACATGAACAGACCCTGTCTCTGCAAAAAAATACAAAAATTAGCCAGGTATGGTGGTGCATGCCTGCTGTCCCAGCTACTTGGGAGGTGGAGGTAGAAGCCTGGGATGTTGAGGCTGCAGTGAGCTGTGATTGCGCCACTGCACTTCAGCCTGAGCAGCAGAGACCTTGTCTCAAATTATAAAATGAGAGAGAGATGATCCTAATCCAACAAACATTAGCACTGTTACTATTCTGGTAACCATATATATACCATTTAGACAATATTTGTATGTGGTTAGCCTCTTGACTTTTTCCACACACTTAACCAGTTGAATAATGCTACCAGCTGAATAATTAAGCCTTTAAACTTTGTATTTCTTCAGACTTCGTCTTTTTTTATTAATTTATTTCATGGGTTTTGATTTATTTGGTCCTTATTAGGTTTAGCAACTCAATCCTTTTAGCCAAGACTCTGCGCTTGAAAATCTTAAGGCTTCCCCAAAACTAGTTATGGATGCTGGCTACAAAGAAGTTTATGTTTCCTTCTTGAAAACATTCAAGACAATTTTAGGCTTTCTTGGTTTCCATGGTTATGCTAGATTTTATTTTCAACATTTTTGTTTTAGAGAACTAGCTTTGAAAACCTATACCATAGTCAATGCACATGAGGAATAGGAATTTATCAAACTTCCTGAAACCTAGCAAAAAGTAATAACTTATATCATTATGCATATATTCATCTATGTTTTAATGTCAAATTAGTGTTCTTTTAAATTTGATAATTTTATGTCTGATTTTTGAAATGTGAGAATAACAGAGAACTATGTTAATGTGTGTTTTCAATTCTGAGACATTTTTCTTTATCCCTAACCAAAGAAACCATGAAAGGTGCTTCATCTACAAAGAATTATATCCAATTCGAAGGACCAACTTCATAGTTGGCAAGTATCCACTTCACAAGTATTGAAAGACAGAATTCTGCTCTTTGCTTTCAAGCTAGCCAAACCACAGCACGGTTCTGACCAAACAGATCCAAATCCACAGGGCTTTTCTCAGCATTATTCACAATTTGCTATGAATGGATGGCTAGACTGAGCTTAGGTAAGCCAGCCTGGAGAAGCCAGAGAGTCTGGTAATGTATCAGAGCTGAGATTTCTATCATTAATTTTACTGCCATTGTACAGCCCATTCCTTTGTTTCTAGAAGGTTGGGCCACATTCAACTATAACTTGTTATTCAAAATTTTATTTTAATACTTTTAGAGAAAGTTTGTTAAGATGGTTAAAATAGAAAATTAAATTTTCTGAAAGCCACTGTTAACATTAATTCTACTGTAGCCACAGAATATTCATAGCATCATCTAATGCTTTCTACTTTGGTCTTTCATGATGATTTCAATAGAGTTAATTATCTTGTCTTGAGGTGACTTAAATTTCCTGCTCTAAGATGAAATAAAAATGGGCGTAGTAATTAAGAACATGGGCTTCAAGCCAGACACTTCAGTTAGAATTCTGGTGTTATTATTTACAAGCTATATACGTTTTCAAAAATTACCTAATCTCTTTGTGCCTCAGGTTTATCTTTTGTGTAATGGACTGAAATATTAACTCCCCAGTACCACCGTGGTAGAAACTAATCATTATTAAATTTAAGGTACTGAGAACAGTGCCTGGAATGTAGTAAGCAATCAGAAAGCACTGGCAATGATAAGGACAGTAATGATGATGATGATGACGACAATGACGATGAGACGTTTATAGCCACATCTGGGAAGGCTTACCTATTGACTCCATTTATGATCATTGCACATAATATGTAGTCCTTTTCTTTTCTGTTTACTTCTCCTACTCTAGGAAATAGAACTTTCCATAAAAATTACTTCGGTATGATATTTAAGCTGGTGTTTCATCGATAACATGTTAGAAAAATAAGGAAAACATTCAAGGAAGTTGATTAACACAAAATTTTATTCTCTGTATTATAAAATAGGGCCAAGTAGTCTGGTTGAACGCACATAGTCGGGAGACTGGAGTCAAACATGGGAAAGCGATAATGTGAAAGTGGAAGCAGCCAAGGGGTTAATGGGGTCAACACTAAAATTGGTGGCACACACTAGTTCAGAAAACATATTATAGGTTTTTTCCCCTTACAATCAAGAAACCCAAATATAGAATGACTGAATTTTAGAGGTAAAGGAGATATTAAAGAATACCTTTTGGAGGTATGACATATTCATATTACATAATAAGAATATAGTAACACTAAGCAACTTTAATTTAAGATTTTCTAAATATCAATCCAATGTAACTTCTTCTACCTTACAGGTGGATGCAAAAAAGTGCCTGTATTTGTAAACTTTAAATGTGCAAGTCTTCACAGAATAAAACTAGAGTGAAAGCTTGTCAATTCTGTATTTTGCTAACAGATGGCATGATTTGCCATGCAAAATAATATTTTTCTTGGCCGTTACATTTTTCATTAAATGATAATTTTTATTTGCTATGATAAATAACTCATCATGTTGAAAAGTATAAAACTATAAGACTGAAATATGTATTCAGAATAGGAAGATGATTTTAATAGAAAGAGGTTAAAAAACAAAAAGAAAAAACTTGTGAGAATATGGAAAGTATTGCAAGTATCTATGGAGAATTCCTTAACAATAGGAACAATTCCGAATGCAGGAGATATTCATGGATCACATAAAAATTGCTATGCCAACACAGTCTTAAATAATCAGAAATAAAATTGAAAAATAATCCATGAAATGAACAATCTTTTAATTGCATGGCTAAAGAAGGCCAACATCAAAATAAAATGCTTATTAACCTAATGACACCTCTGGAAATACTTGCATTTATAAATTCCTTAAATATGTATTGAATGGCAATTGTGGTCCATGATCTTTTCAAGGTGCTTAGGATTAATCAGTAAGTAGAAGAAAGAACCTCTCCCTTTTGGAGTTTATGTTGTAGTATGCAGTGAGCAGAAAACAGGAAAAGGGAGAGAGGAAAAGGAAATAGACAAACTATCATGAACATAATAAATATGCATATTACATTGTTTGTATGATATAATAATTAACATGAAAAATGAAAAATACACTGGGAAGATAAAGAAGGGATATGTGAATGGAATATTTTGAATAAAAGTCAGCTCACCACTGATCTGATCAAACATTTAAGGGAGCTGAGGATATTAGTCATACAGACACCTGGAAAAGACTGTTCCTGGCCTAGTGAACAGCCAGGGCAAATCCCAAAGGTGAGGATATATTTGAGGAACATCAAGGGGTCTAGTGTGCCTCGAGTGGTAGGACTGATGGGGTGAGTAACGAGTCTCAAAAGTCAAATTGTATATGGTAGTCAAAGTCCTGTAAGGATTTTGGCTTTAATTCTGAATAAATGGGAAAACCATTGGAGGGAAGTGGAGAGAAACAACAATTGACTAATTTTAACAAATAATATCACCATGTCTACGTTGGGAATAAATGGTAGAGGGTAAGAATGGCTGAAATCGAGGCTGAAATACAGTTCATACTGGACTAGAAAAGAAGTGGGGAGTTTGTTGCTGAAATGCTGTCTGGTGAAAGTGCTGGTGATAAAAGTTGGAGGGAAAACCACAGTTGGTTCCAAAGATTCAAGGACCTTTAAATTTCCACACCAAGTGAGTAGCGAAGTGGGGGCTGGGGATACAACAGAGACTAAGAGTTCTCTTAGTTACAGATTTCAACAGTTTGCCAGTGTAGAAGAAAATGGTCTAAAGATGTTCAATAGTTTGAAAATCAGCAAGGAAAAGAAAAGTAAGTCTGGTTCAAAACCCACACAGAATGAGCTCATACTATTATTTGGCAGAAATACATGAAGGGATAGCCAGTTTAAACTCCCCTTAGTCACTTTGGACATAAAAACACAGAGGTGCACAAAGAGTCATCTGAACTATTTGTATGTATGGAGGAAGTTCTCTGTACTAAAGTCACTTGCTTTCTTTCTGGTGTGAGAATTCCATTTCTTCATGTCATAAAAAATAGTTGCTTTATTTTAAAAAATTCTAAATATGTTGTAGAGACTAATCAAAGCAGCATGACATGGTTATTTCTTTAAAATGCTCCTGGATAATTGATATAGAAAAAAATCAATTTTTTAATGTGGACTAAATTGCCTCTTTCATATTTTTGTATAAGAAATCGATCTTTTTGACTCATGTGTAGGAATAATAAAACTATATGTGACAACCTATTCTAATTTAATAATCTATCCCTTCCTTTTCTCTTCTTCCCTCATTTTATATCCTCCTTCCTCCTTTATTTTCTTCCTCTTCTTTTTTTTTTTTGCCTTTTTATAGATATCAGGTTTTGCATTTTAAGATCTTTCTTTTGAATTAAAGAGAAAATATATAAATAATATTTATATTTATAACTGGTGCTGGGATAGAAGCTTTTGAAGAAGACAGTGAACAATAGACAGAAAATAATAATTATGGAAATAGCAAATAGAAAAAGCAATAAGGAGTATGGAGGGCAAATACCATCAATTAAAATTATTTTAAAACGCAAGAAATACAGTTTAAACTAAAGCCAAGAGGCTGGGTGCAGTAGCTCAAGTCTGTAATCCCAGCACATTGGGAGGCCAAGGTGGGTGGACTGCTTGAGCCTAGGAGCTCAAGACCAACATGGGCAACATGGTGAAACCCTGTCTCTACAAAAAAATAGAAAAAACTTAGCCAGGGGTGGTAGCAGATACCAGTAATCCCAGGTACCCGGGAAGCTGAAGTAGAAGGATCACTTGAGCTCAGGGCGTCAAGGTTGCTGTGAGCCCTGATTATGCCACTCTACTCCAGCCTGGGCAACAGAGTGAGACCCTGTCTCAAAAAAATTAAATAAAATAAAAAAAGAATAAGTTCAAGTGTTACTATGTTACTATGCATAATCCTGTAATACAATAAATGAATATTGCTACTGGACCATATAATACTGATGTTTTATAATGCTAGTGTTATTCAGAACTTGAGACATAAAATAACAATTGTATAGAGCTAAACTTTAGAAGAGTATTAGCAAGCAAGGATTCTATGGATTCTAAATTCAGAAAATATAGACATTTTGAAGATTTTTTAAAGATATCTTAAAACATGTGGAGAGAAGGGTATTAGAAAAATAAGCAGTCATGACATACAAATGAAATCAATACCATATGGTATTCTTCATTCACATACAATATCTTTCACCACTTTGCCCCTGACTGTAATTCTGTAATCATTTCCACCTCCTCAGTTCCTTACTCTCAGCTTCTACTGACTTAGGATAGAGTCAAACTCCTCAAATGGATAGAAAATAAAAGAATTTTCTACCTCCCACAGAGCAAGTTGAATGTTAGAACACCTTTTGGTCTTTTATATCAACCAGAATAAAGTATAAAGACAGACTGTATAAAACACACAAAAAAAGGTTATGAATGAAGGGAAAGGAACTGTAAGTAGGGAAAACCATGTCACCATATAAATAGATCTTAGTTACTACTAAAAATGTAAAATTATGATACAATATGAATATGATTGCCTTTAGAATATGAAGGAGGTTGCTATTTCAATGACAGATGACAACTTTTTTTGAATTTCATAGATTTAAACATAAAATTATTAAGATGACACTATGCCATCCTCTAACATAAAAATTTGTTTTACATTTTAAAACATTATTTTATTTATTTATCCATGAAATAAATTGTCCGCATAGGACAAGATTCCTTCCGTGGTATGAAGAATTTATAACTTTTCTAAGGCAGTGAGGTAGCCACATTTTATTTTATTTTCCCTTCTTTACTTGAGTACACTCAAAGTTTAAAAGGTTAGTATTCAAAAAATAGCCATATCACATTGGTTTCAGTTTCCTATGTCCCTGCCATTTTTTCTTAAACATCATCCACTGACTTTTACAGAGTTTATCAACACCCATATCATAATATTCCGGACTATCATTTAATGGCAGGTTCTATTCTGTGGAGCTTCCTAGAGAATAAAAAATTAGAATACATTTCCATTCATGCAATTTTGTGAAAGAGGTCAGGATTGCAACTCCAAATAAGTATCCTCTGATATTGTATGCTTAACTCTCAATTTACACTACTTTCCAGTGACCTAACATTTTATATTTAAGATTTAGATAACTAAAATTATTCTGTGAAAATAGTTGCTGAAATCATCATAAACATCCACCAACATGAGGAGTGAAAATACTTAAATATGTAAATTGAGGGGTCATGTGATTCAGTTCAATTAATATGAAATCCAATTTTATTACTGAAAGACATTTATTAACCCCCTGTGTCTAGTAATGTACTAGTCTCTGTTTAGTCTCAGAGTGAGCTCACAAAATGCCCTCTCTTTTAGGAGTAGACATATATTTTATTACTAAAAAGTGACATTATCAGCTTTTCCTCTCAAAAATTTTCCCATTATATATAAATCCAAATTATTGTGGCAGCTTTAAAATGAAAGATTGAGAAGGCTGTACATTCGTCCTACAATGTTGCTACACTCAAAATATTTTTGAAAATTCTTTTCTGCATCGCCATGAGAGACATTTTATGAGCCACATGAGAATACTTCCTTGGTGCTTAAAATCCATGACTCATGTATTTTTAACCCTAAATGGTATTTCTTATTTGGTCATTTCTTTTAGCCACCAGGTTTGACTCTAGATCATTGACAAGCACTATGAAAAGTGAAATCACCTTAAGCAAAAATCAGAATTTGTTGCTATTGCATTTAATTTAGAGTGGTCAGGGAGACAAAAGTGCTGAAGACATCTGTGGTACTTTCATGGAAACATCAGCTACCTTGCTTTATAACCATGTCTCACAAATCAGGTAACTCAGAAATGAAGGTGAGGAAAGAGAAACTCAGAGATCTCTAGAGAACAGGTATGGCTGTATGGTAAGGAGAAACAGGCGTGCATTTTATTTGAGAGGTTCCCTTTTTAAAAATTGGCCTCACCACACAGGATATCCTTTATTAAAATAAATGGCAGACACTATAGTGACTCAGTATATCTTGGAGTACAGAGCCGTATGACATTGTGGTTAAGAACTTGAACTCTGAAGTCAGACATCAAAGGCTGAAATCTGGCTCCAAAGCTTATTACCTGAGTAACATTGGGCAGATTTCAGACAATAAAGATAATTGTTTAAAGTAATAAATGAGATAATCTAAATAAAAATGTTTAGCATGGTGTCTGTAACATAGCATGTACTAAGTAATTCAGTCCCCCCATTTTCTCTCTGCTTATTAGTTTGTGTGTGTGTTTGTGTGTTTATTTGTATGTCTGTGTTGTGAATGTCTGTGTGTTGTATGTCTCTGTGTGTGTAGCATTGTCAATATATCAAACTTTACGTATATAAGTTTGAAACATATACTTTACATATTAATATATAACTTTACATATAAGTTTGATATTTTGACAATTCTAAATAGGCTGTAAGAGTAGTTTATAGTGACACTAACTATAACTCTTTTATTACAGAAAACAAATATAACTGGAGTAATACTATCTTCCTGATTAAAAAAATAATAATCCATTGTGTAAAGAAAATGCATTATGAGATTTGAGACTTTAGTAGTTTCTTGTCAATTAGATTTACTGAGTAGCTAAATAATAAAGAAAGTTAAGTAATCCCAATTATCGAAGACATAAATGTACTGTGAATCAAGTCCTGGTAAGTACTAGCATTAATATTTTTAAATTCTTTTGTTGTTGTTTATTTGGCTTAGTGGCCAAATCATGATAAATAAAATAAAATAATATTATTATGCCCAAATGAAAAATTAATATAATCGACACTTAAATATGTAGAACATTGCAATACTATCTTAGATTGTTGATAGGCAGAACTGTGAGAGTAGTCGTTACTTACGGCTATCAAAAATTTTCCTTAAGGCTGGATATCACACAAATCAACTATATTTTCCTATTTCATATACAGTGTTAGACAAACTCCTGCCCAATACATTTTCTTTAAAACTATGCCTATAACGTTTTAGTAATTATCTGTAATAAGAGACTGGATTCTGAAGTTGGATATATTGAAATTCAAATCCTGCCCCCATCACTTCCTATCATCTTGGATAGAATACTTATTTTCTTACTTTTAAATTACAGAAAGACAATCACATAAGCTGATAATAATGCTGTAGTGATTAAATGAAGTATTCCATGTAAAGACTTAATAGTGCTGGCACTTATTGCACACTTCATAATTTTTTTATTTTTTATATTTTATGATGATGCCGTTACTTTTTCCTGGGTTCTTTTATTTTAGTTTTATAGGCTATGGATGTTACATTTTTCTGTTGATAGTTTCATTATGCTCTTTCTATTAAAATTTCATTCATCTTAAAAATTTCCCATATTCTCATTCTTGCATATAATTAGTCACCAACTACTGGAAATTTATATAATGTAATGCTGCTCTGTCTTTTCTTTTCATCTTTGTTACAATGATTTAATCCACCTTGATTAAGTATAATAGTTTTCTTTCTAGTCTGTCTAGTATTTGCTTCCTTGTCACTTCCTCCTGATTATTCTTGTTCAAAGTGGCATTCACCATCTTATTACAAATGAATGCCAAAAATTTTAATGGTTTACTATTGCCTTTATATAAAAAGACAAACTTAAAGTTTCTAAAATCTGATATTTACATATGTCTTCAAACATTTAATCCTTTATTGTCCTCTGACATAAAATAATCTCTTCATTAATCATTTTGTACAACACATCTTTATATAATGTCATTTACCTGCATAAAAGGACTTTATGAAAATATTCCATACCAGCTATCAAGAGTTTTCCTGTATTATCATCTTCATGATGATAGTAGAGACCCATGAAGGGGTCTCTAAACATATAATTATCAATAAATTATTCTTATTTTGAGTTCTTTTCCTTACCATCTTTAATTTGACAGTTAATCATATATTACTTTAACCTGTTTTATAATATTTAATTTACATATCCCATATATGTACTCCATGTTAAAATAATTTTCAGCACACTTAACTATTTTATAGGATTTTATGTCTTGGCATCTCCAATGTATAATTTTTAAAAACACAAAAAATACCTTTAATTGAATTAATACATAACAAAACTTAATCCTTGAATCCTGGTCAGGAAAAAGTAACAGAGACTGAATTTACCATCTCACAAGAAACAACCAAAACAAAAAATAAGAAACAAAATGAAATAAAAACTCCATCTAAAACAACAGTTTTCAAGTCACTGGATATCAGGCAACAAAGAACAGAGATCCTTAACAAAAGGGAAATGGATGACCCTATGGTGCAATATTTTACTGCTGTAAGAATTTCTAGGCTGAAACAGGAGGACAGAAAACCAAAGTAGAGCTCAGAAAATTCTTGGGTTTTAGGAAATGAAGATGAAAGTCCAGGGAGACCAAGATGACTAGAGTTTTTTTGCAGAGAACACCAGGGAGAAGAAAGCTGCACAGAGAGAGAGAAAGGCCATTTGCAAAAGTTCCCCTTCAGTTTTTAGCAGAGTGCCAATCAACCCATGTGTGACCAAATCTCCTGAGGTCAGGGAAAGAACTATCCAAATGTAGTAGAGGCATGGGATTTGGTGCTCGCACATGACATGGAAAAATGCTTGTTCCCACCAGCCAAATTAGAAAACCTCAAGATTCATGGGGCGTTAGGTGGATGTTTTTGTTTGTTTGTTTGTTTTGTTTTTTGAGAGGAAGTCTTGCTTTGTTGTCCAGGCTGGAGTACAGTGGCATGATCTCATCTCACTGCAACCTCCGCCTCCCAGGTTCAAGTGATCCTCTTGCCTCAACCTCCTGAGTAGCCGGGATTACAGGCATGCACCATCATGCCCAGCTAGTTTCTGTATTTTTAGTAGAGACGGGGTTTTGCCATGTTGGCCAGGCTGGTCTCAAACCCCTGACCTCAAGTGATCTGCCCACCTCGGCCTCCCAAAGTGCTGGGATTACAGGCGTGAGCCACCATGCCTGGCCAACATATTTCATTTTATTGTGCTTAGCTTATTGTACAGATACTGAGTTTTTTGCAAACCAAAGGTTTGTGGCAACCTTGCATCAAATAAGCCTATCTGCACCACTTTTTCCAACAGCATCTGCTCACTTCATGTTTCTGTGTCACATTTTGGTAATTCTCACAATATTATAAATGATTTCATTACTATTATACCTTTTATGGTGATCTATGATCCGAGATCTTTGATGTTCCTTTTTGTAATTGTTTTGGGATAGCATGAACCATGCCCATAAAAGATGGCAACCTTAATTGATAAATATTGTCTGCTCCATTCACTAGCAGTATTCCTATCTCTCTGCTTCTCCTCTGGCCTCCCTATCCCCTGAGACACATTATTGAAATTAACCCAATTCATAACCCTGCAATGGCCTGTAAGTGTTCAAGTGAAAGAAAGTATTGCATGCCTCTTACTTTAAATCAAAAACTAGAATGATTAAGCTCAGTGAGGAAGAGTGTAAAAGCCCACAGAAGCTAAAAGATAGGCCTCTTAATGACAAACAGCCAAGTTGTGAATGAAAAGGAGTTCTTGAAGGAAATTGAAGGTACTAATCTATTGAACAAACTAATGATAGAAAAATAAAACAACCTTATTGCTGATATGAAAGAAGTTGTAGTGGTCTGCAGAGAAGATCAAACCATTCACAACATTCTTTTTAGCCAAAGCCCAATCCTGAGCAGTGTCCTAACATTCTTCAATTCTATGAAAGTTGGAGAAGTGAGAAAGCTGCAGAAGAAATGTTGACAGCTAGCAGAGGTTGGTTCATGACACTTAAAGAAAGAAGCTATCTGCATAATATAAAACTGCAAGGTGAAGCAGCAAGTACTGATGATAGAAAAACTGAAGCAAGTTATCCAGGAGATCTAGCTAAGATAATTGATAAAGATGGCTACACGTAACAAGAAATTTTCAATGTAGACAAAATAGTCTTATATTTGAAGAAAATACCATCTGAGACTTTCACAGCTAAAGAGGAGAAGTCAATACCTAGCTTTGAAGTTTCAAAGGGCAGGCTGACTCCCTTAGTAGAAGCTAATGCAACAGCTGGTGACTTTAAGCTGAAACCAACACACATTTGCCATTCTGAAAATCCAAGGGCCCTTAATAATTTTGCTAAATATACTCTGCCTGTGCTCTACAAATGGAACAACAAAGCCTGGATGACAGCACATCTGTTTACAGCATGGGTTACTTAATATTTCAAGCCCACTATTGAGACCTATTGCTCAAAAAAAGATTTCTTTCAGAATATTACTTCTCATTGACAATGCACCTAGTCACCCAAGAACTCTGAGGAAGATGTACATACAAAGATTTTCCATGCGTGTTAACATAACATTCATTCTGAAGCCCATGAATCAAGGAGTAATTTTGACTTTCCTGTCTTATTGTCTAAGAAATATATTTTGTAAGGCTATAGATGCTATAAATAGTGATTCCTCTGACAAATCTGGCTAAAGAAAAGGGAAAACCTTCTGGAAAAAATTCACCATTCTAGATTCCCTTAAAAACATTTGTGATTCAGGAGAAGATGTCAAAATATCATCAGTAACAAGAGTTTGGAAGAAGTTGATTCCAATCCTTATGGATGACATAGAGGGATTTAAGACTTCAGAGGAAGAACTAACTGCCTATGTTGTGGAAATGGCAACAGAACTAGAATTTGAAGTGGAGCATGAATGTGTGTCTGAAGTGCTACAATCTTATGATAAAACTTCAGTGGATGAGGAGTTGCTTCTTATGGATGAGCAAAGAACATTATTCCTTGAGATGAAATCTACTCCTGGTGAACATGCTATGAATGTTGTTGAAATGACAACAAAGAGGTCGGGTGTGGTGGGTCATGCCTGTAATCCCAGCACTTTGGGAGGCAGAGGCAGGCAGATCACCTGAGGTTGGGAGTTCGAGACCAGCCTGGCCAACATAGGGAAACTCATCTCTACTAAAAATACAAAAATTAGCCGGGTGTGGTGGTGCATGCCTACAATCCCAGCTACTTGACAGGCTGAGGCATGAGAATCTCTTGAACCCGGTGGCAGAGGTTGCAGCGAGCTGAGATTGCACCACGGCACTCCAACCTGAGTGACAGAGAAAGAGAGAGTCTGTCTCAAAATATAGGAAAAAAAGGAAATAATAACAAAGGATTTAGAATATTACACAAACTTAGTTGATAAACCAGAAGCAGGGTTTGAGAGAATTCACCACAATTTTGAAAGAAGTTCTATGGTGGAGAAAATGTTGTTAAATGGCATTATATGCTACAGAGAAATCTTTCGTGAAAGATGCAGTGAACCTTATTGTCTTTTGAGAAATTGCCACAGCTGAAGGGTGCCACCCTTCAGCAACCACCATCCTGATCAGTCAGCAGCCATCAACATTGAGGCAAGATCCTCCACGAACAAAAAGATTATAACTCACTAAGGCTGAGATGATCATCAGCATTTTTTAGTAATAAAGTATTTTTAACTAAGGTATGTACACTGTTTTTTAGACATACCACTATTGCACACTTAATAGACTATGGTAGAGAGTAAACATAACCTTCATATGCACTGGGAGAGCAAAACATTTGTGTGACTCATTTTATTGCTATATTAGCTTTATTGCTATAGTCTGGAATAAATCCACAATATTTCCAAGGTATGTGTATACATACAAGTGTGAGTGAGGAATGATCAGACCTTGATTAAACACTTCTCTGAATCCATGTAACAAATGTAAAAAACAGAACTCACAAGGATCAAACTGTTTTTCAATAATTTAACTGTGTCCCATAGAAAAGTTCAAGAATATTAATAAGAATACAAAAATATGAAGCATGCAAAAGATAAAATTCACAATGTTTGGCAGCCAAAAAAATAATTACATGGCATGCAAGGAAATACAACTCATAATAGAGAGAGAAACCAATCAGTCAAAATCAACTCAGAACTGCCATAGATGTTAGCATTAGTAGGCATGGACATAGAACAGTGAATATAACTGTGCTCTATATGTCCAAATACTGAAATACAAATAAGGAATATATTTTAGGAGGCCCAAATAAAACTAGAGATAAAAACTAAAATGCCTGATATGAAAAATACATTGAATTGGATGGTGGCAGATTAAATATTATACAGGAAAATTTTCATGAGCTTGAGAAAGGATAGCAATCATCTATGTGTATTATTATAATAAACTTCAGTAGTCATCTTCTGTGTGTGTGTGTAAGAGGAAAAGAACAAAGTTCAAGGAATAAATGAAACTACCAAAAATGAAGAACACAGAGAAAAAGCATTTTAAAATGTGAAGAGCATTGGGCTACTTCAATTTAGTAATGCATTTTTAACTGTAATTCTCAATGGTATTGGGGGAGAATATTTGAACAAATGATTTTCTCCAAAAGTGCAAAGGTAATTTAATAGAGAAAGGATGGTTATTTCAACAGATGGTATTGAAACAATTAGATAGTCATTTGCAAAAATGAACTAAGACTCGTACTTTGGAACACATAACAAAATTAATAAAAATAAATTATAGACAATGTTAAAACCTAAAACTATAAAATTTGTAGAAGAAAACATAAGACAAAATCATTGTCACTTTGGGTTAGGAGAAAAGTTGGCAACCTACCCATGGCCAATGGGACAAATCTTACCCTCTACCTGTATTTCTATTATGTATGAACTAAGAATCTTTTTTTAGATCTTTAAGTGATTAGTGGAATGGAAAAAGTATACTACTTCATTACATGAAAATTATGTAAAATTCAAATTTTAATTATTAGAACATAGCCATACTCATTCATTTAAATATATTTTTGTGATTGCTTTCACACTACAACTACAGAGATGATTAGTTGAGGCAGACGGTATTAGTCTGTTTTCACACTGCTATAAAGAACTACCTAAGACTGGGTAATTTATAAAGAAAAGAGGTTTAACTGACTCACATTTCCACAAGGCTGGGGAGGCCTCAGGAAACTTACAATCGTGGCAGTAGACGAAGGAAAAGCAAGGCACATCTTATATGGCAGCAGAAAAGAGAGAAAGAGCAAGGAGGGAAGTGCCACACTCTTTTAAATCATCAGATCTTATGAGAACTCACTCATTATCATGAGAAACGCATGGGGAAATTGTCCCCATGACCCAATCACCTCCCACCAAGTTCGTCCCCTGACACATGGGGATTACGATTTGAGATGAGATTTGAGTGGGGACACAGATACAAACTATATCACAGAGGGTGTATGGAGCACAAAGTCTAAACTATTTATTATCTGGCCCCTTAAAAGAAAGTTCCCCGACTCTTTGAATAGGCAAAGGTATAACAGCAAAAGCACAATAATTTTTGTTAAATTGATAAGTTGGACCTCATCAACATTCAAAATTCTGCTTTTCAAAAGATTCTAATATGAGAATGAAAAGCAAAATACAGACTGGGAAAAAAGTATTTATAAATCATTTGATTTATAATCTGATAAAGTACTTGTGTTTAGAAAATACAAAGAACTTTCAAAATTCCATAGTTTAAAAAAATAATCTCCCCGCTCAAAAAGGACAAAACCTTTAAATAGACTCTTCACCAAAGAAAATATGCATATGGAATATAAGCACACGAAATGACACTCAACATCATTAGCTTTATGGAAATGCAAATTAAAGCCACAATGGGATACCATTACATACCTATCAGAATGGCAAAAAATTAAAAAGACTGACAATACAAAGGGGTGGTGAAGATATAAAGAAACTAGAGTTCTCATACACAGCAGGCAGAGATACAAAATGTTTCAAATGCTATGGAAAACATGTCGACATTTTGTTAGAAGTGTAAAAGTCACATGATTTAGCCAGCCCAGTCTTCCATAATTATCCAAAAGAAATGAAACATACCTTTATAAATAAGGCCTTGTGCATAAATATGTACACAAATCAAAGACTTTTGAAATTTGTAATAAACTTCAGTAGTCATTTTCTATGTGTGTGTGTAAGAGGAAAAGAACAAAGTTAAACGAATAAATGAAATATTGGGGGATTTGCAGAGTTTACTGGGGAAGATAGGGTTCTGAATTGATATGCTAATGCTTTCTATAGATCAAATAGAGTTAAGAATTTTATTCTTTACATATTTACAAATTGGAAAATCAAAATTTGGATTAATAAAGTCTTTTCAAGGAGGGCATTTTATTCAATAAAGGTATGCTTTCTACATTCCATGTAAAAGTTTTACTAAATTATAGTCATCCGCAAGGGATGGGTTCCACAGGGAACTCGTTCCAGGACCCCTGTGGATGCCAAAATTCGTGGATGTCCAGTCCCTTATATAAAATGCCATAGTATTTGCATACAACCTCCGCACATTCTCTTGTATACTTTAAATCATCTCTAGATTGCTTAAAATACCTAATACAATGTAAATGATATGGAAATAGTAGTTATACTGTATATTAAAATTTGTGTTATTTTTATTGCTGTATTATTACTGTTGTTCTTTTTAAAAATCTTTTTTGATTCATGGTTGGTTGAATCTGTGGATGCAGAACCCATGGATACAGGGCGCTAACTGTAATTCTTATAAGTGAATTATCCCTCCTTACTTTCCAGTAAAATGATCTTTATCTTTACTACAGAGATTTCTGGAAGGAATTATAGTGTCTTTGTTCCATTTTTCTTAGAACTATAGAATAATTGGTCTTACTATTCTCAGAGAGACTAAAGTTTCATTGGGCACTGGAGCATGTGAATTTGTCAACTTTATATTATTATAATTTAATTGCCAGGTAATGTACATCACCTCTGTTTCCTAGACATTGATGCTACCATACATCCACAGTAATCTTTCTTAGAAAAGTAGAGTAAGGATCATAGATTACAAGTTTGTTGAAGAAGTAGACATTTTCATTTAGCCTAGCCAGCTGGCACATGTCCTATAAACCAGACCAAATGTGAGCATCACAGGGTAACAGTTCTGATCTTTAAAGTGACAGACTCATAAAGTGGAGCAAATGATCCTTACACACAATCTCATGCAACATCACACTTCAAGGCCCTCAGTTAGCAATTTAATAGTAAGTCTTCAGTTTTAAGTGCCTACAATTGACCATAAGTTATCTTACATCTGCCCTCTCTTATTGATTTTACTACTCAAGAATCCTGTAAATAACTCTTATCTTTTTTCATCTTTTTATGATTATGGAAGGTTTTCCTAAACCAACCATTAATTCTTAAAACATAAGCAAATGTTCTTTATCTATATCTCTATATATCTGTCTCTATCTTTTTCTTTGTCACATTACATAATTTCTAGATAATACTTTGAAATCCAAAATACTGAAAATTTTGTATACTGCATAACATACCATAGTACACACTCATTTTTCTCTATAATACAACACAAAAATGAAAATATGTACAGTAGTTTTCTAGCCTCCATAATTATTTCTTAGATATATAATCTGACTCATAAAATCCAATAAACTGCATGAGAAGTTGGAGGAACTCCAAAGATAAACTAGACCAACCCCATAATATATATGATGATATTAGAGGAGAAAGAGATTTAGTGACTTACTCAAGGTCACAGAGTGAGTAAATGCTTTAACTGAACCTGAATCCCTTTCTGCATTCATTCATTAATTAGAGAGTTCCAGTGATGAGTCAAACATTATGCTGACTACAAAGGGTATATAAAGAAAAATGGCACCAATCCAGTCATCCAAGTGATTTGAGCCTGGCAGGGAAGAAACCGAGCTATCTGTCACTCAACTCAATATACCCTTGGTATTCATTGTTCTTTTCTTAAATAAATCTGTCATTAAAAATACATAACAAACAAAATATTAATAACCTTACATCTAACAACTTGGCTTGTGGATTTAATAATTTATTTCAATTATAAAAGACACCCAACTGTAAAAAAGAGTTGAGTGCTCAAAAGAGAGCTGCCTGCTCAATGACTTTAACTGAACTTTATGTGCCTGAAAACTCACACAGTGACAATAAAAACAAATTCATCAGCAGTGCTAAAGCTTTGAAAATCAGGGCCTAAAATTAACTAGAGATTGTGATCCTTATTTATAGATATGCCTCAACCTCCTTTGCAATAAGATACAGTTTTACTGTTAACCAAACACATAATGACACTTAGCTTTAAATTGTGCTAAAAATGAAAAACAAAGTAATAATTAATAAGGAATTTTTAATTAACACTTGTCACAATTCCTTTTTCATAACTTACTATTGTATTGTTTTCAAGTGTTTTGGTGGAGGAGAGGGTACCCATTCTTTCCATATGATGTATGCTACATGTGTAAAAGCATGTTTTCCTCCCCACACAATTCTGATGAGACCACATGTTCAACAGTATTTTCATTCGTTGATTCATCAGAGAGGAGCGAGGAATATATCAGAGTAAGTTTGGCAGAAATTCTCAAAAGATTATTGAATTCATGATGAAATTGGTTAAAATAATTAAACATCCATTACTTTGATACGTTTGTAAAGGAACATATAATTTTTGCTTATCTGCACTTATATAAAACCTCAGAGAGAAGTGTGTAGTTAGAATGATAAGAAGAAAAGGTGATAAAACCTCCAGAAAGGAACTCTTAGAACCACAACAGAAGAACCGTCCAACAAGAAGCTGTTGGCAGCCTCACAGTTTGTATTATTTGACATTATCTTTGATAAAACACAGGTGAGTATTCAGAGGATAAATCCTAAACTGAAGGCAAAACAGCATGGTCTGTTACATTAGGTACCTCTGAGGCTGTGCTTTCTTTGATGTTCACAACCCAGAAACCTAAACTTTACCCACAATGGCTTCACTCAACAGAAAGGCCTCTGACTAAAATGCAGTATAAAGGGATCCACTTTCTATTAATCAAACCTGAGTGGAAACAAAGGAAGAATGGCAGAGTGGCAAGGGGTAGGAATCGCAGCCTTTTAGCTCCTCCACACATTTCTTTCCTGTTGTGCGTGTCTCTGTGAGTCTCAACTCTCTCTGTCACCCCTTGCATGAACACATGCACACACGCACGCACATATTGAACCTCTGAGTTATTACCTGTCACTGGGAAGAACTTATAAAATTAGATAAAATTTTAATTTCTAACAATACAGTACCTATTAATATATGTGTGTACAGACAGGATATATATAAAGATATTATATATACCTCAGATACAGAAATTTAACAGTTGGCTCAAGGCTCTCAGATAAATGTGCTTAGCACAGCCTGTCTACTCCAGGATCCCATTATACAGGATGAATTACTTTAATATACTACATATAATTTTTTTTCATTTTCATAGAACACCCCCAGGAGTTAATTCTGAAACCATTAATTTTTAGTACCAATGTTGAGTACCAACTTTAATATCAAATTTAGCCAGCCATAAGGCAACTTAATGAGCATCCTGTACTGTCAGTGGGAATAAAGAGTAAAAGGCAGAACCAAGCCTCAGCTTCTCTCTGCTAGCTGAGATCCTCCACGCTGAAGGAAATCAGATACAGAAAAGTTAAGTCCTGTACGTTTCAGTTATCACCAATGGTAGATAGAGATTGCTTTCTAGCTCTGTGACCATGAGCATGCCCACTTATCTCTCTGTTGTAGTTCCTTAGCTTGTAAAATCCAGGTAACAGTGTTTACCTCATAGGGTTCTTCTGACGACTACCTGGATTAGTATAGGTAAAGACATAGAAATTTGACACATAGTAGGTGCCATGTTAATATAAGCTGTTACGATGGTAATTGTCAAAGTATATTTAATGTATACATAAATGATATTTTGTTATCCATATGAATTGAAAGTATCTTCAGAATTCTTTATTAAGGCCAAAGAACTTTTAAAACTGTTTAGAAGCATTTTAATCAATCTCAGGTTAAATAAACATGCTTTCTATTTTTAAGCTTACACTTTAATTACCTGACCATTTTCTCAACCACAATGCCTCCTTTTCTTGTAACACTGAAGAAATGCAATATCATTTATGCAACCATTATGGTGCTTTTGAGTTTAATATGCCTAATAATGTTCAAAGGCTCACACAAACAGTATTTACTATGAAACTAATGATGGGAATATTTACTTGGATTTTTCATCTGAGAACATTACTGGGTGATAGCAACCCTTTTCCACTCACATAGAAGTATTGGTTCAAGTCGGTATCTCTATTGGCTCCTGAAAACCATGCAGTAATAGAATACTCAAGCCTATAACACTTTTAATCACTTAATGGTTGCTGTGCTTGTCCACATACAGGCACCTTAAAATAGATATACAGTACATTCTGTATCCACTCAAAGATTTGAGGTGAAGTCTATAGAAGTGGCTATAAATGTCAACATTATACAGCATCATAGCTCTATATTTGTGTCAGGAAGGCATATTACCAGTTTAAGGCTATAATCATTCATGTCCTACCAAGTAATGGTGTGACACATCCATTTAGAAAGATGGTTTGCTCACAGAGAGCACTGTACTTTAAAAATTCATATGTACTCTAGCCTGAATATCCAACATTGACTACGTGACATTGTTTTGCATGATGGTAACTATTATATGCAAGCATTCACCAGGTGTTTTTTTTAAATTTGTAATTGCATTCTTTTGTAGAATCTTACAAAAGATGATGAGTAATCATCTTTTATCAGAAAGCATGCACATATTAGGTTATTTTCTAGTTTTTTTATTCCAAAAAAAATAAATTCTGGTATGTTTTCCTGTCAGGTAGGCATAACCCTATGTAGCTGAAACAGTAATCTGACTTATATTAACACATACAGACATATTTTTAGCTGTCAGAAAAAATAAAAGATGGACAGTTGATGTGTTTTCTTCTACTTCTAAAGAAAACACAAGGTCAATGTCATACCACGGGAGAATCTTGAGTGGGAAGAAGGGAGAGTTGAGGTAAAATTCAGCACTTATTTGGGTCAATATCTACTTGTGTAACATGAACTAATTTCCACAATTTCTCTATCTGTAGATAAGAGTGTTGACCTCAGTGATTTTTGTTAAAATTTTCTTCTAAAAAATGTAATACTAAATTAAGTGTATTTAAATATGTTGGCTCACTCTTCCTTATTTTCTTTCTTTTGTCCCTGGGTATTTTGGTGGGAGGTTTAATTAACTTCTTGCCTGTATAATATATATTCCCAGAATACTAGAGTTACTCTGGATGGTAATGCTTCTTTCTTTTTCTTAGCTGACAACACACCTTCCCTTAACTGAGTCAGCCCATGAAAATCTCCAAACCTCGTAGATGTCACGCTTTTATTGACCCCATCATTATCATTTCTTTTCATTGAGAATTATCAACATGATGGTAAAAGGACACTCACTTGAATGCCAAAAGGACACTGATTTGGTTTATAATTTCAATTCTCTGACCATTCTTCACATAAACTTTGGCAAGGTATTTAGTATTCCTATGATCCCATCTGTAAAATTCTCCCATCCGTAAAATCAGGATAATGATAATGCTAACCAATCAGGGTTGTTCTGTGGCTTAGATTTATTACATGTAAAGACTAAGAACTGTGCTTGACGTTCAATAAATGCTAATTATTATTTTTCTGTTCGTAATTGTTCTGCAGCTTGAAATGTTTTTCCTGTTAAAACCAAAAATAGGTTGGAAAATTAAGTAATCCATTTGAAAAGTGTTTTGGAGGACTTGCCAGTAGTCAGGTTCTATGAAAAGATAGAACATGTTCCTGTTTTCATAAAGCTTACATTCCAGTGGAGGCAAAAAGATGATATAAAGTGAGTCTAAAAAATAAGGTATTTTCAGGTAGAAATAAGAACAACTAAGAAAACAAAACAAGGACATGTTGCAGAGAATAAGAGTGTAGGAGAGTGGGAGTGGGGGGAAAAGTGCTTTTACTTGCTGATATGCATACCTCTTGATGTTGAAGTGAATCAACACATTATTTCTGTTTTGTTTATGTACACTTCTTCATTTCCTCACCCAAGCCCAGGGATTAAAAATGACTTTCAAACATACCATATAATTTGGTTATCTTCCTAAAACCTGTTACACTAGCAGTCTTTTCCTTTTACAGTAAATGACATTTTTCCATTGCCAAGAACACAACCTCTGGAACTATTCTGACTCCTCTGTGTCATTTTATAGCTAAACCAGCAGAAAACATGTCAACTCTACTTTCAAAACATACTCAGTATTTTACCCATTCTCATCACTTTCACTGCTGCCATGATAGTCCAAGACTCCATAATCTCTCAATTAACTACTGGAGAACCTTCCTAATTGGTCTCCCTGCTTTCGCCTTTGCCAATGTACCGTTTAATTCCAACACAGAGCCAGAGGAAACATTAATCAGATGATGGACCTCCTCAGTTCAAAGGCTACAACGGCTCTGATTTCACACAGAACATTATCAGAAGTCTCACCATGTACTTCTGCTTGGCCCTACCTGATCTGCCTCACTTCTCTTACTCACTTGTCCCACGCTCTACTCCTCTCTCCCTACTTCACGTAGCACCAGGAAAACTAGCTTTCTTAATGGAACCAGCCCAAGGGTCCCATAGAACTGATGTTTATGGAAACACACACACACACACACACACACACACACACACACACACACGTAGAAATTGATCCTCCTAGTTTAAAGTTTGAAACTTACATTTGCCTTATCTGAGTTCCTTCCTCAGGAAACTGACTCTCAGGCCTCCCAGACAGTATCAAGGGACTGAACTAACAAGATCACCATATGCAGACAATTAAGGCAGCAGAGACCTCATCTATCATGATTGCCTGATCACCTGCTTCCAGTTGACCAACGCTTCTTCCTTACCCCTCCTTAATTCCTTAATTCCCCACACTTAGCTACATTCCTTTCCTGCTATATAAACTCCTAACTTTAGTTGGGAGGTAGGAACAGATTTAGGAATTGTCTTCTGCTGACATCACCAGGAGTATAATAAAATAATGACTACTTCCCTGGCAATACTTGTTGTCTCAGTGATTGACTTTCTGTGCATTGAGCAACAGGACCTAGACAGAATCTTTGGTGTTTTGGAAACATTAATATTCGTGAAATATACCAACAACTCTTCCGGCCAGGGCCTTTGCTCATTTGTAAATAGCTGACATGCTCACCCTTTATCAGCATGGTTTGCCCACTCAATTCTTTCAGGACTTTAATCAAATGTCACCTTTTTAGTAGGGTCCTCTTTAAAATTGCATCCCCAAACCCTAGAACTTTCTATACATTTCTTTGCTTCATAGTAATGATTACCTCCTAATAGATTTATTTTGTTGTATTATTATCTCTTTTCTGTTAGGGTATAAATAATACCAGTGTAGATATTTTTGTCTGTCATTCAATGCTATATTCCAATTGCATAGAAAATTGCCTAGCACCTAAGTGTTTTCCCAATATTTACTGAGTAAATGAAAGAGTAAATGAAGGTAAACCAGGAAGACTTCTCTGAGCCCAAAATATTGAGAGAGATGGATCATTAGACACTTGAGGCACAGACTATTCTAGGCAGATGTAATGACCTTTAAAACTGTCAGCCATTAAACAAAAAGAGGAGTGATGTGACATATTTTTATTTTTTTATTGTATTTATTTATTTGAGACAGAGTTTCGCTCTGTTGCCCAAGCTGGAGTGCAGTGGCATGATCTCGGCTCACTGCACCTCTGCCCCCTGGGTTTAGTGATTCCCGTGCCTCAGCCCCTGAGTAGCCAGGATTACAGGCTCCCACCACCGTGCCCAGCTAATTTTAGTATTTTTAGTAGAAATGGGTTTCACCCTGTTGGCCAGGCTGGTTTCAAACTCCTGACCTCAAGTGATCCACCCTCCTCAGCCTCCCAAAGTGCTGGAATTACAGGCGTGAGCCACCGCATCGGCTAACACATTTTAATAATTGTTCTAATTCTATGTTAAAGTGGAAGAACGTGGTTGGAGTAAGTTAAGTAAAGAGGAGAGACAAAGGAGCCAAGTTCTGAGAAGGAAGGAGAGGACAATTCATTTGGGGCCTTTTAGGCTATGGTAATAAGTTGAATTTCACTTTAGATGCAAAAGAAAGTGCCATTGAAGGGGTCTGATGGAGGCATAGATTACGGGAAATAATATAATTTTATTTTGTTTTAAAATATCGTTTTGATTTTATTCTAAATAATCATTTGTATGGCAGGAAATTGTTATTTTCTACATAGAGGAAATAATCAGGAGAAATCAAACTCAAGGTTTTAAAATCAGTAACATGAAAATTATAAAGTTAAGTACTTAAGATTATATAACTGATAAAAAAAAAGGTGATGGTAGATAAAAATTTCACTGTTTGAACTGACTTTGTAAAAAAGTTAGATATTTCTGAATGTTCTAGATTGGTTTATCCGCAGTCTCATCACCAGAAATGGTTTATTTTTTTCAATAGCTTCCAATTCACTAATCACTCCAGTCACTCTACCTGAGTCTATTAAAAAACTATCATAAACGTAGCAAGATGAATTTACAGAACTACCCCAAATGTGTAGTTAATTAATGTAAATGAGTATGGACTTTAAAAAGTGAAAATAGGTGTTACATAATCCAGAACACATTCCTATAACAACAAATGTGGGCTTTAGATATAAATCTAACTTCATTTATTTGGAATTACTTTGATAACAGTTTCTGATCATTATTTTATACATGTGTATAAAGTAAATTTTATTAATAAAATCCTAGTCTTTTATGGTGTGGCAGTAGGAATTTAAACATTTGTGACTGCACAAATGTCTCTGTATTCATGTTTAGTATTCCACTAAAATACATAACTAAAAACTGTTGATTATAAACCTGATATGGAAAACTTCTGTTTTTAAAAAATAAAGAGAAGACAAAACATATTCCATTTGTTTAATTATAATTATTTTCTTTGTTTGATTTTAGAGCATTTTTACAAGGGAAAGAATGAATTTTCAAGTTTACACAAACAGCAAAGTGAGCACCTCCATGTTTATAGAACATCAATTCTCTCTTGTGTTTCACCGTGCTGTGCAATAAGATTTGTATCTGAAGAGTTATAATATGATAAAATAAAACTGGATAGAAGTGGGTTCTCTTTTTGACCTAATTTGGCCTGTCCTTCAGTTACTTTGCTTCTGCTCTCATTTCACTATGTGGCAATGCATATGTAAAATGTCATCATTGGTTGGGAAATGCATATTGAGATTAAAAGAGTTGTCGCATTTTAGAATTGGTTGTTTATTCTTCTGTCAGAAAATTAGCCAGAAGTTTTCTACGAAGTAAAAATACGTAATTCAGTTTTTCTTCCCTTATAATATTATTAGTAGTTTACTCCATTTTGTTACTTTCTATGTTCAGGTGCTCTATTTCCCACCATATTCCCTCACCAGCCCCCACCAGATAAATGTCAGAAAGAATGAAACATTATGTTTTTCCTCTGTTTCAGGAAGCTACCTACTTAGAATTCCATGACGTTTCAGTTACACAAGGGCTTGAATCTTCAAAAAACCTAATACCACTAATCAGTTTAAACTTTTTTCACTTTGCTGTTGATTCTAATTCATCAACAATAAATTCTTTCCATTACCCATAATGATAGTTAAAACTTGTTCATGCCCTGTTACTGCACCTAAAAGCAAACTCCTTAAACCTGCACTTCCAAGAGTAGTTATTTGTATTGATTGGATCCATGATAATTATTTTGCCTGGCTTCTCCTGTATCAAATAAAGTACAGAAACTGTCAACTTTTAAAGTGATATTTATACAAAGATTAGTACAACAAAGATTGTACAACACAAGGATTAATACAACGAAATAAAGGCAAAGCCTTTCAGTGGCTCCTATTATTCATGTTTCAGTTAACATGATCAAAATAATCATCATGGCTCACAGTAATTTAAATTATTATATTGAAAAAGTCATAACACATTTCAGTTTTGGTGCAGGAGACTGTTTATTTCTCATAAAGAAAAGACACTCTATTGGCTACAGATCACGCATGATTCAATAACCCAGTTCATTTTTCACATTTATTCACTTTTTACATTTAAATCCCCAAATTGGTACTTATAATTGATTGTAAATCTTTTAAGAATATCAATAAAGTAAATAAAAATACGGGGGAAAACATGGTATGCAATCAAATAAAATTATGGCCTGTTATTAAAGGCAATGAACTATAAATTTCCATGAAAATAGATAATGGAGGTTTGCTCTTCCATGTGTAGGAAGATGATGGAAGTGGAAACTACAAAAAAAAGGTGGGAAAAGAAACTCCCAAATGAAAAGTATATAGCAGATGACCTATGCTTTTTACATATTTCTCCCAAAAAAGTACTTATGATTAATCAACAAGTATGATAAATTCTATATTGGAGAATAAATATCTGCTATTTCCTCAATACTCAAAACAAAGTCTGGCATATAGTATGTGCTCAGTACATATTTGTAGGATATCAGCTTAAATGTCACTTCTCAGTGACCTTAGAAAGTAGATTATTATAGCATTCATCATAACTCTGAATAAATTATTAGTTGGATACTTTGTGGTTGTTTTAGTTCAAGCATGAGAAATGTCAGAAAAGCCAAGATAGTGCCTATATTTACCCACCATTTTATCTGACTCTAGATGTATGTCTGACTCATAGTAGATGTTTAATAAAACTACTGAATGAAACTGCACGAATAAACTTTCACAGGTAAATCAGTGAATTATTTAATATATAATTGACATAATCTGCATCTTTGATAATCATAATTTTATCAGATAAATTGAAACTGACACATCAGCCCAATAACTAGACACTGTTAAAAATAGGTGTTGAAAGAACTATATTACCATTTTCTAACACATATGTACAATGATTGGAATTAGCCATGTGTATGCTTTTTTACAGTGCGCATAAAATCGAGAGAGATGTTTAGTGTGGCACCTTCCCTGTTCACTATTCCCACTGGAGAGTTTCAGGGGACACAAGATTTGTTGCAGAAAGGCAAAATGTAAAATGTAAATATGTTCTAAATTTCTCCTTGAAGCCCATGTACTATAGAACAAAGCTGTATCTCCAGTGGAACATCTTGAAAACATTACTTTTTAAATAAAATTACTTATTTTAATATTTGCATTGCATATATTATTTATACGAATATTAAACAGTAAATATTTGTTGAAAGGAAGGATGGACTACAGACAGTATCTGGCTGTACATTTGTACATAATGCATCTTTGGTTAATATTTTAGGGCACAGTATCAATAATGGAGAAAACCTCCTGCAGCAGAATTAGAGCAGGTTTCCATTTCAAAGGGAGCTGCATTCATATCTTGGCTCAGAAATCTGCTAGTGGTTTTTGGTCTTGGGCAAGATACTTACCCTCTCTGATTTTCTCATATGTAAAACAGCTATAATATGTTGTGAGAGGCCCGGTGTGGTGGCCCATGCCTGTAATCCTAGCACTTTAGGAGGCCAAGGCAGGTGGTTTGCCTGAGCTCAGGAGTTCGAGACCAGCCTGGGCAACACAGTGAAACCCGTCTCTACTAAAACACAAAAGAAATTAGCCGGGCGTGGCGGCGTGGGCCTGTAGTCCCAGCTACTCAAGAGGCTGAGGCAGGATAATTACTTGAACCTGGGAGGCAGAGGTTGCACTGATCCAAGATCGCACCACTGCGCTCCAGCCTGGGTGACAGAGTGAGACTCTGTCATAATAAATAAATAAATAAATAAATAAATAAATAAATAATAAAAATCTTGTAAGATTCATATGGTTAGATAATATGTGAACACCATGGATGGTATTTAGTAAATAATACCTAGTATTATTATAAGCTACTATTCTAAGCAAAATATACAATTCTAATCACGAGAATCATGATTACGTCACAGACTTTAGCTGTTTTACAATAATTTGTTTCAAATTCTTGGAAAATAACTCAAAATCTACCCTACTCATAGATAGCAAGATATAGTTGTAATATAGTCAGTATTGTTAATGTGTTCTCACATAATAGGTATGATTGTGCCATATTTATTCCTAGGTGGTACATCCTTGATATATTTTATGGATGTGTACATACATGAAACATGCATAAATACAGTGCAGATGCCTTTGAGTACCAAATGCATGTCTTGTAACTACATTGATGCATTGCTCAATGCAACTAAAACCCAATTATACCACACGTGACTCTCTGAAAACAATCATTCCCTCCAGAATAGTTCACTCAGCACTAATCAATGAGAATAGAAACATCCCTTGTCACAAACCAAGTGCTCTGATTTGTATAAGCTGTATAATAGACAGAGGAGATGTGACGACTGTGCCACACTTTGCCTAACCCCAACCCCATTTTTTTACTTCAACCTCTGGAGGCTTTTTATTGATTACTATTAACTCTGAGATACTCTCTATATATACCTGAAGCACAGATTTGTAAACAGACTGTCTATACCTACTCACTTCTTGAATCCTATTGAAAAGTCCATCCAACTTCCACTCAAAATATCAGTATTTTCTATGAAATGGTATTCAAAAGTTATTATGAAATATGGCCCTTACTGAATAAATCTATTTTTGCAGGAAATAAATATCTGTAATTTTAATATTTATGCCATTACATCAATTCTGTAGCTAGCTATTTTGATGTAATATTATACCGTGTTCCCATCTCTGACATGTGCATGAATGCACACACACACACACACACACACACACACACACAGGTGCACACAAGAATTGTTGAAACATTGTGATCAATAACTCTATATATTTTCCCCTGAGTTCATAAGCTGAATGAATAAAATATAGTTCACAACTTAATGTGTTTAATAAAGATCATTTCTTATTATTGAAGTAATTACCTTCTTTTTGTGTTATATTTAGAGTGGCTTTTCCCAATGCAGCATATAATAATACTGAACCCTTTGATATTATTTATTGTTATTTTTCTTTAAGGCTTGTTCACTACTTAGCAAGGAGGACTGTAACCAAATTAATGAGAAGATAAATTAGTAGTCAAATATATAATATGTTTGTACTACCTTTACTTTAGAATTGCACCAAATAAGTGTTGCAGGACCCACTCTAGAAAAAGATGGCCTTATGAAGAAATATTTATCTGGTATGAGAAAAAAAATCAATTAGCCAAAGTTTTACATTAAAAATAAACTTGCAGACTAGCTCACATCACTGAATACCAATGTGTAATTTCTTATAACTTTTAGTATCATGTATTTTTTAACATTTCTTAGACATATTTCTTAGCTAATAACACAATAGGTAGCTATATATTTTGTTTGAAAAACCCAAAAATTTAAAATTAATTAATGATGGCAAACATAAGTTATTATGAATATAATGTATTCAATGATTATAAATATTAAAGTGTAGAACAAGTACAGGCCACCGACCTTTTCTCTAACTTTTTCTAGAATGGTAAACAGAGTGTGTCAATTCCATTAAAAGAAAAGACTTTCTTTCAAACTCATTACTTAAGAGAACATATTTCTGCCTACCTAAATGAGGTTTCCTGGGTGTGTATGTATGTTAATTAAAAAAAACTCTAAGGAACAGTGACATAGCTATGTGTTTGCAAAACAATTTTTAATTCACTTGACTTAGCTATTTACTTGCAAAACAATTTTAAATTTAAAATAAAAGACTACTCTTAGAATTTAAATGATCCACACTTCCACAGTCTGCTATTTAAAAATGTGAGGGGAAAAAAACACTATATACACATTTGGTTCAAATTTTCCACAGTTTAAACTACCAGCAAGTAAGTTGAATGCATACTTGAGAATCCTCGAGTTAAAAAGATGCAGTTCTAATCACCCTTAAATATGAGCTCAACAGCACCTTTCTCCCAGCATGAGGCACTTAGAGTAATGAAATCTATCCTCTTTTTGGAAGTTAATTTGCACTCATTTTAGCACATTTCTTTTGGGAAATTAAGGCAAACCTCTGGGGCAATGGGCCTAGTCGTCAGAAATGCTTTACTCAAGAAGTTGATAGCTTATATATACAAATCTTAAATCAGGTTTATCAAGATCTGAAAATAGCAGAGCGACCTCTATTTCATTTTATTCCTAATTTGTGTACCTGTGGTTATGGGTTATTGAGAAATACAGAAGAGAAAGCGTCACAAAATAGGCCATTGCGCATGAAGTCCACAAGATCACCAGGTAAAGGAAGCCCATGGCCTTCTGGAATGTCCTCCTGCTGGGAGTACACATGGCATTCCATTCGCCCCATGAAACACTGGATTGTTTAGCAACGGCAGACACTGAGAGCAAAGGGAGCCCTGTGTTGCAAACGTTTTCATTTAATGAAGTTAGTAAACTAATCGTGTTTCCATGACTCTTCTTGACAGGTTGATTTCCTACCTGGAAGAGCCAAGCTTCTCTGGCTTCAGCCACCTACAGGGCAGAGACCTGCTTCTAGCTACCCTTGTGGCAAGATGCAGGCTGCCAGTATGCCACAGAGACCCAGCAAACATGATACCCTGTCTGAATAATGTTTCAATATGCCTGGGATTAAGAATAAATCTTTTAAAATGAAAAGTAAAGCAGGAAATATATATAACATACTAGCCTTTGGGGTAAAACTTCTCCAAAAGAAAAGTATTTTGACTCTATTTTAAAGGACTGCTGGGGAATTACACATGTTTTTAGAAAGGCAACTTGCAGAAAGTATAAACCCATCATAAAGCTTGTAAAAGCACAGATCTTTGTCAAAAAAAATCAAATACATTTGAGACAAACCTCAGGAACTTTCCTTGAAAAGGCAGCTGAAGGCAACCTCCTGACTCTGGTATGAGAAGTAAGAGTTAAACACCCCATTGAAATTATATTCACCATCCATGGAGGGTCCAAAAGAGAATCATTGTGTGAAAGATGTTTAAAAAGGAGAAAACAGAACAAAATTGCTTTAAATCATATTAGCTAATGCATAGGGAATTTTCATAAATGGGAAAAGGAATAGTCACTGGAAAATAAAGTTTCCGGAAATTTTTGAGAAAAGAGCAATAGAACACTAGGGCATCATATTATGACAAAAAAATATAATATACTGGGATCATTTTTCTGATTAAACTGGGTGCTTTAGAGTTTGAATTATAAACCTATAAAACAAAAGCAGGCCAGAGTATGCTACCCCAGTGACATATCTTTAAATGCATAAATAAAAACACTTTATTTAAAACAATCATGTTTTCAGTGGTCTAGAACAATTTTACTATTGCTATCTAGTTCTGAACTAAAGTTTTGTGGAGAAGATTTATCTTTGAATTGCCAATTTAGACTTTAAAATTTCAAATATCAAATCTAGTCGTCTATGATATGGCTATATAGTGAATATTGTACTGAATGAAATATCCATTTTAATGTTAGCTAGAAATATATTCAAGAGCTTAAAGGATTTCTCATACTGTTACTTTATAGTTGGACTTTAGGTATCATTACTTCTTTAAACGTATATTTCTCCCACTTTAAAATTCAGAATTACAGTATGCATTTTTAATTTAATATTATTTGCATTGAGATGAAGAAACCATTATTTAGAGATAAGAAAAAGTAGTTTTCAGAGAAATTGTATGCCTTCATATTAAACTATTCCTAGGACATGCAAGTTGGTAATTCAGTAGCAAACACACGAAGATACCATGTCTTCTAAAGTTTTGGCTAGTCCATATGCATTTAGCTTTTCATTGGGGAGGTGGATTAAGGAGAGGCAATGCTGTTTCATATGGATATTCATGCAATTAATCATGAACTTTATAAGATGACATTTTAAAAGGGATATACTCATTGAAAACTGTTAAATTGATCCATAACATCACTTTGGAAACTATAAGAGAAAAGTTGCTATGATCTTTTCAAGAGAATACTGCAGCTGGATAGCTTCAAAACAGACGGACTTTTAGATATTCTCTTTAATACATTATGTGTCTTTTAGTGCTATAGAAAAACACTTAATTTCCTGTCTTCTATGGGAACCTAGACTTCCTGAGAAGGCTATTCGGATTAGAATAATAAATCTTTCTCCTGAATACAGAAGGCATGGTAAAACTTATTTTCTCACTCAGTCAAACATATTTCATATTTTTTCCCAAATAACATCTAAGAGGAGAGGAAAGGAGTATTATCAATCTCTGATGCTTTCTACTCCTGTGTTTTTTAATATATATGCACATTTTAAATTGCCATATTAAAAATAGAGGAGAACAAGTTATCTTGCAATGCTATATTATCAGAACTTCAATTAGGAGCACTGTGGAGACATTTGCAAAACCATTCTCTTCACAGTCAGGCATCCATTTAAACATTCCTTCCTACTCAATCAAAATGTATCCAGTTTAAAGAATTTGCTAGTGACAGGTTTGATCAATAATTTAAGTACCCAGGCAGAGGCATCCTCATTCTGTACAGTACAATGCTTGATAGACATCCTATCTGAGAGGGAAGGGGATTAAGAGAAAGTGTTATGAGCCTTTTCATACTTCCACTTCTTTAAAAGGTTGACATATTTTTATGGATGACATCCTGTGACATTGATAAAGCAATCAGAGTATGTTCTGGGGGAGAAATTACCTGTATATGATTTGAGAGTATGGACATTTTTAGAAGATGCCTATCCTTGAGAGCATCTATTTTAAAAATGCAAGCACAGCCATTTTTCTATTTCCTGAGTGTTTCTACCTCTGCTTTTTCTCCCCCGTACTATGCCTCACTGACTGCTATTCACCCTGCTGGTTCTAGTTCAGACACCTTCTGCAACTCCCCAAAATTTGGCCAAGTATATTTCCTGGGTTATGAAAAATATGGTTTATATTGTATTGCATTGCATTGCATTCCCTTTAACTGAGGGAAGAGATTTGCTTTATTCATTATTATAGTACCAGCTCTCAGCAAAGTTCGTAGCTTTTAGTATGCCTTCAATAAATATTGAGTCAATGAATAAAATAAACCAAGATTTTTCCGTGATACAGAGTCAGAAAACTTAAACCAAATATGAAAGCTGCACATAAAATGCACAAACTTTCTATTTCACCCTGTCTGCTATCACTTGTGGAAAATATTGAAGAATTTTCATATTTCTGAGAAAATTTGGTGTTGGAAAAGAATCTGGTGGCAGTGAGCACATTTGTAAATGGGTTATGGACTTGCATTTTGAAAGGCATTTTCACTTACAATATCTCATTTGAACCTCTTAGTGTCCAAGACAGAGATAAGATACCTAATCCTCACTTATTATAGGTGAGGGTTTGGAGCTCTCACAAATTAAGAACTTTATTAGTATGACTACGAATCCACATTTTCCCAGCTACACACTTTGAAGGTTTAGGGAACGTATAGTTGTAGAGGGAAATCCAGTTTCCTGAGTCATGAAGATGCTGATATTAGGAAAATCACGGGGCTCTGGTGCCGACAGTTTTCTTTCTTCCACCATAGCTTCTTGATTTTAGGAGCTGTCAGTGATTTCTGAAGAACATGAATCTCCAGGGAAAGGAGTGTGTAGAATTGACATTGCTCCCGCAAGGACTGTCTCATAGCATATCCAATAGTAGGAATTTTGGGTTGATATATATAAAACCTGATGTAGCGGAAAAATTATGGACTTTGGAATCACTCAGCCTTGAACTTCAATTTTAATTAAACTACTTACTATCTATTTGACCTTGAACAAGTCACAACCACTCAAAGCTTCAGTTTCATCATTAGCAAAGTTCTGAAAGTATTAATGTCTATGGAGCAGGATGTTAACAGCACTAGAATTATAAAGTAAAAATGACATGCCTGACATATCTGTCA
Organism: Homo sapiens; assembly: GCF_000001405.40. Classification (NCBI taxonomy): domain Eukaryota; kingdom Metazoa; phylum Chordata; class Mammalia; order Primates; family Hominidae; genus Homo; species Homo sapiens. The sequence continues at coordinate 89,274,936 of NC_000003.12, read as the reverse complement.
TGCTAGTGAAATGACAATATGAAATTTGTTGATACATATGGACAGGAAAGATGACAATTTCACTTATATTATCTTTGTACTGGGAGGAGTGGCTTGGTGAAGATTATGCATGATTATTGGGCTCCAATCTTCTTAAAATTTTTTGGTTAATCTGCCTTTTCTTCCCTCCTTGGTTACGATTCTAAATCGCTGTCCATTCTCCAAAAGTGCGGAAAACTTTGACAGCCCAAGGTACAAGGCAGGCATTCAATTTACTATATTAAACTGATGGCTCTATCAAGAGTGTTGATTTTCACTTCTAGATAAGTCATTTTAATTATGATACAACCGATATCTCTTTTAAACATATTTGTCTGTTCTCTATTAATTCACATAAATCTATGGCTTTCAGATGAGGGTATTATTCCTTACTCATTAGAAAATGTAAGAATTTAACACAGATCATTAGACAAAGTCTAATGATTACACTTAAATAAATTTCCCTTACTCTTCTCCTCCCTAAATATACTGCTTATTGCTTAGAAATTACTTAGTTCAGTCAGTTAATGTTTGAGTGTTTGCAATATTCATAAAGTATTAAATAATGCTAAAAACAAAAAATACTAGAGTACTGACATAACAGAGATGGAATGATTTTTTTTGAATCTTTAAAATGAAAATAAATTTAAAGCACAGCATACAAAACATCAATTATTGTTGAGGCTGGTACAAAGTGGGAGGGTGGTGGGTAAATAGAAAATAACAAAGTTGATCTTTTACTTGGGGACTTTGTATTTGCAAATTCACATATTTGCTAAAACTTATTTGTGACCCAAAAGTCAATACTTGTGGCACTTTCTAGTCATTTGTAGACATGACAGAATGGCAAAAACTTGAGTTGCCTGACATGCATGTTCTCAGCTGAGGTCAAATAAGGCAACTCTCTGCCTTCTTATTTCAACTCTCACACTGTAAATAACTGTCTATTTAGTGCCTCATTTTTCACATTTCTGTGCTTTTTGTTAGTGATTTTGCTGTATAAAATGGCCCGAAAGCACAGTGGTAAAATGTCAGCCAGTGTTCCTAAATGCAAGAAGGCTGTAATATGCCTTACAGAGAAAATACATGTTAGAAAATATCCTTTCTGGCAGTAGTTGCATGCTATTGGCCATGATTTTAATGTTAATGAATCAACTGTATATTAAATAAGGTGCCTTAAAACAGAAACATACATAAAATAAGACTATGTATTGATCATTTGATGACAATGTTGTAACCAGGTGCCCTCAGGAAGCTAAACTTGTATTTCCCCTAGGAGCAGCAATTCAATAGTCACAGCAACTTTATACAATATAACTACCATGGATAAAGAAAACTTACTGTAAACACTACAACTGAGTATCTTCTCACTCTTGGCATATTTTTTGCTACTCCAGTTTCCACTTCACAAGCATCCATTCACATCAATTATATTTATTAAAAACTCTCTTCGAAGTTAGATTGTGCAAATAAGACTGATGGAAATGGGCAAAAAGAAAAGTTGGCTACTGTTCTATTAATATAAAGTTTAAACTAAGGTATAAACAGTGAGAGATATAACATGAATAGATAGAATACAGAAATGGCAACAAAGAAAATAACAATGACTTACATTCCTACTGCCTTTTAAGGTTTTTTACTTTATGTCACTTGTACCTCCTTTTTAGGTATTTACAAGCATTTCCATATTCCATTAACAAATAAGCAAAGTGATTCTCAGAGAAAGTAATGTCTTCAAAAGAACATGGCTAGAGTTAAAGCAGTTGGAATAAGAAATCAAATATTTTGGCTCACAATGCATACAAACGTTAAAAAATTACTTTAAAATGTTGAAAATTTATCTTCCCATCAAACCAAATGTATTTTTGGCCTACAAGCTACTTGCTTAGATAAGAAAAATATTCACTTCCTTTAATAGTCACTTAACCAATGTAAGTAGATTATAATTTTGTAATAAATAATGTAGTCAGAATTTATTTTAAGCCAGAGATACATGGTTTCTTAAGTGTTTTACAGTGACCATCAGAGAACATTAATTCTATTAAGCACCTCCCAGATTTACGTTTACTTTAAATCCTATGTCATCAAGTTGTAAAAAATAAGTTCTTTCATTATCCCAATAATATTCCAACTTTCCATGTGTTCCATAGTTACTTTTAAACATGATTGGTTATGAGTATGAACATGGACAAAGAGAAAAAGAGTAAGTAAAATGTGGACCAAGTAAAAGATCAAAGCCACGTCAGACAGAAGTGAATTTGAGGAGTTTAAAGTGCAATTATCACATACAACTAGAAAAATGAGAAATACGATTCTACTTAACACAACTCTTTGTCTAAGAGCAAACACATGGGCACTTAAAAATCTGGCATAGCACATGCCTTATTTTCCACATTTTAACAACTCTTAATGGATTAAAATTTCTTGACACTTTAACAAGGCAAAGTTGAAATACACTGCATCATTTTTAAGAGAGGGCTTTGGTTTAAAGCTGATGAAATTTTTTGTAATCTATCAATACAACCACAGCTGTGTGACATATTAGCCAAATTATATGACTTATAAAATATTTTTATTTAAATTTTTAAAAAGAATAGAATTTATTTTCATTTTTAAGGATCATAGCCAAAAAAAAATGGTAATACATTTGGTACAAAAAAAATGGTAGTACGGTTGACCCTTGAACAATGAATGCAGGAATTAGGGTCACTGATTCCCCATGCAGCTGAAAATCCATGCATAACTTTTGACTTTTCAAAAACTTTACTAATAGCCTACTGTTGACCAAAAGCCTTACTGACAACTTAAAGAGTCGATTAATGCGTATTTGTATGTTATAGGTATTATATACTATATTATTACAATAAAGTAAACTAGAGAAAAGACAAAGTTATTAAGAAAATCATAAGGAAGAAAAAATATATTTGCTATTTATTAAATGGGAGTGGATCATCATAGTGGTCATCCTCATTGTATTCACATTAAGTAAGCTGAAAAAGAGGAAGGGGAAGGGTTGGTCTTACTGTCTCAAGGGTGACAGTGGTGGAAGAAAATCTATGTATAAGTGAAACCGTGAAGTTCAAACCCATGTTGTTCGAGGGCCCAGTATAAAAGTGACTCGCTTGATGGCATTTTCTATTTTTAATTTCTAGTAATTTCTTTTTCTTCCTGGTATTTTTCTTTTTCCTTCTTCTTTTCTGCTTTTCCTTCCCCTTCTCATCCTCCTCCTTTTTCTGTTTCTATTGCTATTCTTCTATTTCAACATATTACAATCAACCATCAGCTATCGGTATGGATGGAGATAAATAGAGGCAGGTAAAAACAGTATACGTTTTGTTTTACATACTACCAGTTAAATGGAAGACTTGAATATAAAGCCAGAGATCGAAAGCATATTAGACATGATCAGTTTCAAGAACACTAAAGGTGAGAGAAAGCCAAGTTGCTGCAGGTTTCTTGACGCCTCCATGTCATAGCAAACCTTAGGAATTTCAGCCATTAAAAAAACATTAGAAAAATACATTTATCATGAACACCATTCAGAAATATACCTAACTTTGCTGTACTCTGCAAGGGAATTATAATACTTTCTTCACATTTTAACAAACCCCACTTTACATTGCCATTTCTAGCTAAGCTTTGTTTTCTTTTTTTCGGCTTTTCTTGTGGTTTCTTGCTTATACAAAAGGTAATACAGTGACTTTATAGGTAAAATTATGCCTTCCTCAACATTATTGGACCTAACATTTCCTGAAGAATAAGAATACACAGATGTTTTGTCTCAATGCTGAAGCAGAACATATAACAATATTAATAAGGAAGAACATGTTGAGTATAATCTATATTTTGTTTGTACAATAGCTACAAATAGTAGGGAGGGCTTATTCTTTCCATATCAGTTTTTTTAACTTGATTAAAGAAAAGTATTATTAAGACCAATCCCTCCCCTTCCTCCTTTTCAGCTTACTTAATGTGAATACAATGAGGATGACCGCTATGATGATCTACTCTGATTTAATAAACAGCAAATATATTTTTTCTTCCTTATGATTTTCTTAATAACTTTTTCTTTTCTCTAGTTTACTTTATATGTAGCTTGAGAAATAATTTGCTAGAGGAGCCCAGTGTGTTTTGTTTGCTTTTTAATCAAAAAGCACAGACAATTTTTATCAGAAATAAATAGAAGAAAAAATAACATACAGAGGAAATTTTGAAGAAATAATATTTGCAAGTTGACATTGAATTCATTCAAAAAGTTACAACTCTGGGGCACAGACAAGATTGATCACATGTATTTGTTTAAGTTTTATGAACATCAATGAAAAGAAACACTCAATAAGAGAGGTCATGCATTTAATTATTTATGGTGGACTGAATTCATACTCAGGCTACACAATTTAAAACATTATTGCATCTCTCCTTAAGGAAATAAGACAGAAGTGAGGATCAGGCTGGCTGTAGATCAGGAGAAGCTGTCTACATGACTAAAACAGGTGGACTAACAGCTGGCCAAAGACAGACAGACACAAATGAGTAGACAGTGCGTGGAAGTCCTGGCAGAAGGAGGCTGGAAAGGGATTTCTGAGTATAAAGGTCATAGGTAAACCAATAGCCTAGTTTTCCACAACTCAAATAATGACTGACAGTGATAATGATGAATCATAGTAGTAGTAATAAAAATAATAACATGATATCAGTTTCTAACCATTTACTAAGTGTCAGGTACCATGCAGAATGCCTTAATACATTAAATTAATGAATCTTTTATATAATAATTAGTTTCAATCTTATAAATAATAAAATTGAGTTTTGGATTTGGTATTCACAGAAGATATACTACCTGCCTGAAGTAGGCTTTCACATTTGGTCCTTTTGGCAGCCCCATCGAAGAGCTACTAGTATTCCCAGTGTTATTCTAAAGATAACCCAACTCAGACCCTGAAAGACCAGTGATTTGAAGCCACACACCCTGTAAATGAAAATCTTGTGAGTCAAAGGCAGAGAATTTAGACTCTATCTTCTGAACTAGTAGTTCTCAGACAAGGGCATGCATCAAAATCATTTGTTAAAAAAATTTTTGTCATAGGTGGGAATTGAACAATGAGATCACATGGACACAGGAAGGGGAACATCACACTCTGGGGACTGTTGTGGGGTGGGGGGAGGGGGGAGGGATAGCATTGGGAGATATACCTAATGCTAGATGACAAGTTAGTGGGTGCAGCGCACCAGCATGGCACATGTATACATGTGTAACTAACCTGCACAATGTGCACATGTACCCTAAAACTTAAAGTATAAAAAAAAAAAAGAAAGAAAAAAAAATTGTTGTCACTCTGGCTGGGTGGCTCATGCCTATAACCACAGCATTCTGGGAGTCCAAGGTAGGAGGATCACTGAGGATCACGTAAAGCCAGGAGTTTGAGACCAGCCTGAGCAACAAAGCAGTACCCTGTGTCTACAATAATAATAATAAATTATAAAAAAAACTATTCTCTATGCCCTGTACATCAAGCTTTTAACTCAGTCTGGGGTAGGAACCAAGGATTTGCATTTTTAATATATTCTCAGATGATATCAATGCTATTGGTCTGGAATTCACATTTTGGAAACTAATGTTCCAAGTCACTGCTCTATACTCTTTCTTGGATATGGACATGTCATAATAAAGTCTCTGTGCCTCAGTCTCTCTGTAAAATGTGTAAACAGTATTCTTCATAAGTTGTTTTGAGGTTTCAATAGTTTACCCCACGTAAGGCACTTAAAACTGGGTCTTGCACATGATATACATTAAATGCTTAAAAGATCTTATTGGTCAGTAGATTTACAAAAGCAACACTCGAAGTAGATTGTGATGTTTAAAAGAATAGAAAAGTAAAAGTAGTAATGCCATAATACCATATTACTTTTAAAATTCTAACTAATGCCCATGGGTTTATCCTATGACCTTGTATAAGACACACGACCTTGTATAAAATACACAACCTTGCTTTGACCTGAGGTTGTTTTTTTTTTCTTAACTTATAAATAAGAAAAATTATATCATTTATCACAACACAGGAAGGTTTAAAAAAACTTGTAAAATTATTTTATAGCACTTTGTGAAAATAATGGAGTATATAAAAGCCAATAATAAATTTCACTTTCCTCAGAGAACATTGTAAAATTCTAATACCTCAGCTGATTTACTGCTATAGCTAAAGTGCTATAGACAAGATTTCTTTTTCCTAAAAAATCAGCAGTTAAGTTTTCTTTTTAAATATGTCATAGATATAATTTATAATAGGGTAACTGTCTACACTACTAAAAGTGAATTCAATTTTCTTGATTTCAAACACATTAATTATATGATAAAATTGTTGGTGGCTTAAAAAAAAACAGAAACATGAAAACCAGATAGACCACACATATCAAGAAATAAGAAAAAGGAAAATAAAATTTGGAGTTTTTAGAAACTTGAAGTATCCCTTTAAATTTCTGAGAATGCACTGAACTTCTTTAAGATGAGCGAACCTTTCTTATTGTTTCTAAGCAATGAAGATTAGCCACATGAACAGACATATCTTTCATCAGCAATAGCATTAGGAAGCACATGTTTCCAGAAAGAAGAAAGTTGATCTACTGAGGGCAGTTTGAAACTGATGTGGTTTAGTAGACTAAGTGTCAGAATTTGTGAATTTTAATCCCTCTCAAACACCACCCTGTGCTACTACTGACTTGTGTGGGCTGGGGCAAGTGAATTGTTTCTTTTGGCATTTAAATGCATCCCTAGGAAAAATGGATTGAGTTACATCAACCTACCACAAGTAATTAACTTCATAATTTTTCTTAACCTATATCAGTAAGCCCATCCTAGCTATTAGGAACTGCACGTTATCTTTTGCATCATTGTAACAATTTGCATACTTTACTGAAGGTCAATGTGAAATGAGAGCAATAGCAAAGAGAGCTTCAAATCAGTTAAAATTACTAACAAAACATACTTGTAGCCTAATGGAATCACACTGTTTTAAAATAAAATGTTATCCTGTCAGTTTATCTGTTGTTCTTTTCTCAAAATTGAGCTCAGCATCACCTCAGCAACTGTTAATATTCTAGTATAAAACGTTAAGTCAGTTTGGCCTTCATTTATTCTAAGCTTTTAATTTTTTATTGTTTTAAAATTTTTGATTAAAAAAGCAAGCCAAAGCTTAAACAGAAATAAACCAAAGATTGACTTTGTGTTATTTGAACATACCAGGACAGCCTTCATAAAGTTAATTTAAAAAAAAATAGCTAAACAGCAATATTTCCTTGCCAAGACGTTACCTTTAATGTAGCTTCCTCCATGGTGAAGGGCTTTTAATGTTCATTTAGAAACACCCTTTCTTTGCTATTCTGCTTCCTGGCTTCCAGGGGGAATGGCAGGGCTGTGACTTGTGTCAGTCAGTAGATGCCTAAGCCTTTCTTTTTTAATAAGAATAGGATTCCAGACAAAATAAATCAAGTTTCTCCCTGTCTTCCTGAGAGAGTAACATCTGAATTAGCCACAGTGTAAAATAGCCAAGGATAATTAATTATATGCTTTGAGTCAACCCTCATTCCCTTCCAATTGAAGTACACAGACATCTTTTTTAAATGTACTTACAAAGAAAATTGTAAGGATGTCCGCCATCTTAAATTTCCTAAAGTTTCTATCATTGATACTATAACTTTTATAATGGAACATTTGGCAAGGTAAGCTTACTTTACCCACTGCTCCTGATTTGTTTTCACTCACCTTCTGTTACATGTTTTATCCTATTTCCTTTCTAGCTCTGCCTTAGAAAGAATCTGATTTCTATTCATTCAGTTTGCTTATACTCTGCAAATTGTCTTATGCTCTCTGAGGAAAAATGCATCCAAGCATAATATGAGAAGTGGTAGAAAACATTAGACAATTTCATTTTTTTAATGAAATACTATTTGAAATTTTTTTTAAGTCATTGACTTTCAGAGGTTTTAGCCCTTTCAAGGTTGAATTGGTGAATTTCTATTTCTGAAGAAAATTGTATTTGAACACGTTAAAATGGGTTTTGAGAATGTTATTTTGTATTTGGTATGTGATCATATTTTTCACTGCTAATTTGTGTGTCTACTCATTTGTTATTGAATTGTTTTTGTAAATGATTATTTTTTAATAAAACCAATTGTTTACAGTCCGAACAGAAATATCAGAAGAATTATAGAGATCAAAGGAGAACATAAAAATATACAGCATAAAGGATAAAGAAACATAAAGAAAGCATTAAAATTACCAATGATGACCGAATATGCTACTTATGTAAGAAAAGTTATATTCTTAGGGTTGGAGAAAAATTGAGAGTTAATTTATAAATATTTACTTTAAAAAAATCAGAAGACTTTTAGTCAAAATCTGTAGTAATTGAAGTTCACTGATTTATGTGTTATGCTAAAATTGAATTTAAATCCTCAATTCAACACTGACACACTAAAATGTGAAACAGAACTCTTTAAAGTCTAATAATGTGAAGATAAATTCAGCTACCTGGGAACTAAGCTGGCTTCAATAAAACAATAGTTTCCAATGAACATGATGGCTGTAAGGTGTAGTAATTAAGAGTAAGGAACCAGCTGACCTGGTTTCAAATCTCATCTGTTTCACTTAGTAACTGTGTGACCTAGGACTAGTGACTTGAACTGTAGGTTTCAGTTTCTTTATCTATAAAATGAAATCAATACAAATGCCCACTTCATAGAATTTTTATGAATATTAAATGGGTTCATACTTTATGCTATTTTTATTATTCAATGAGTTTAGAGTGTCTTGGTAGGATTGCGTCTCTCTGGATTATCTTGAAGTCCAGAAGACAGAGCTCAGAGCTAAGCTAGGAATTTAATTGTGTTTATATATCTTCTGGTAGTGTCCGCCAGACTGGAAAATCCTGAGTAACAACAAGTTCCTAAGCAAATTTTCAATCAAATCCTAAAACTTTTTAAAGTAGAAATGAGAAATAGAAATTACCTTGTGTATATCTTACAGAAATTTTTTCCTAGTATCACATTCCCCAAAGGCAGAGAAACTTGACATGGAGGAAGAGGGTACAAAAAGAAGGTTGCCCAGGTATCTAACCAGTGCTCATTCTCAGGACTTGACAGTTACCGAGAATGTACTAAATTTCATAATGTCCACATGACAAAAGGAGTGATGCATTGCTTACTCCTTGATGTCTGCACTTGGGTCAGAAATTAAGCAATTGGTTCTGCTATACTTTTCTCTGAAATTATAATTTCAGCAAATAAACAGAAATAACAAGAAATCAGATTATATTTATTTGAAAGAAGGCATTGTTAAACTGCTTTATCCTAAATGAGAATATAAATTAATTTAAATAATAAAAGCCATATCACATTTTGCATTACATATTTTGCCAAAATTATTTTATAAAATAATGGTGTATCAAGATATTTACAAAAAATATTAAAATAAAAGTTTTTGAAGGAGCAACATTTTTTAGAAAATAACTTTTTTTCTGTAGAACTACGCAGAGCTATTTATATCACCTAACGAACTTCATGAAAATTAATTGTTGAAGGAGGATATTGAATATGACATTTCCCAAAATTATGTGGTCAGGGATTCCCCATTTTTCTTGATGCATCTCTAAATAAATGCTATGCTCTATGACACCAGTTTTGGGAAATGTAGCTTTGGAAAGAAGATTTGTTGCATTTTTTATTTATTACAATTATAAGTCAGAGATGCACTTACAGTAGAAAATGATGATAATAACAAAAATTATATTAGGCCAAAACACCTATGGGAGAGTCTCTCTATATTGTTGCTGAACATAATTTTTAATTTTTAATCAATTTCCAAAGGATATGTTAAAATTTTTAAATGTCTGCAATTCTGTCTGGAATCTTAAAATTACTACATTAAAAGCATAAGAGTTATATCAAAACATCTAATATCCCCTATAAATATATTCACCTACTATATACCCACAAAAATTAATGAAAAATATTTAAAGCATAAGAGTACATTTTCATTTCATTAATATTCTTAATGACTCTTTGGAACTTCAATATGAAATCAGGTATTTTGCCCATGACATTATTTTAACTCAAAAGGCACAAAACTCCTACTGTTTTCTTTTAAGACAGAATTCCATCTTATTTATTGATTCAATAAATATTTCCTGAGAGCCTAGGATGTGGCAAGCATAGACCTATGCTTTGGGGATGTAACAGCAAATAAGACATATGCTTCTCCTGTTCTCCTTTGAATCCTGCTTGGGGGAACAAGGATTAATTTATTTGTGAAATTACTCAACTTTATAATTTCTAGTAAGCAAAGATAAGAATGAACGTTTATATGATAATTTATAAAAAGAGAACTCATCTACATTAGAATACGTAACTAACAGTCAAACTAAGACTGAAAAATGAGTACGATTTCACTGAGCAAGGGGTACGAGGGAGGTAGGAGTTGGTGGGGAAGAGAACGTAGGACAGGGCTGACCAGGAATCTGCAGATTCATAGGACTGAACATCAAGCCACAGAGGATTATTCTCAGGCCTTGAAACCCAGTGGAATTTTCCCTACTGGGTTTCACACTTGCTTGTGACAAGCAGCTCCTTTATTCCTTCCAGTTTCCCGCTATGAGAATGAGAATGCCTATCCTATACTTATCCCAGCATTGTGTTTAGGAAGCAGATAGCTCATTTAAGAGTTTCACAGATTTACAGATGAAAAGACATTTTGCCCCAGGATAGATCACACCCAGAGTCTTGGCCATCCTTGATTCAGATGATAAGATTTGAAGCTTTTTGAACCAAACATATTTAAATGAGATTTTGGACTTAGAGTTGATGCGTGAATGGGTTAAGACTTTTGGGAATGTTGGGCTGTGTTGCACATGGGATGGACGTGGATTTTTGAGGCCAGAGGGCAGACTCTACTGGGTTGAGTAATGCATCCCCTCCCCTGAAATAGAAATTCATGTCCACCTAAAACTTCGGAATGTAACCTTACTTGGAAATAGTGATAGGGACAGAGGGCAGAGCAATTCTAGGAAGAAAAGGGAGGGTCCACAATGAAACCCCACCATCAAGCCAAAAAGCCTGAAACCACGGCCCAAAATTAGAACTTCTATCCCTGTTTTCCTGCTTGAATGCTGTCTTTTCCTAAACTACCCATGGCCCACCCCACTCCCATCCTGTGCCTAGAAAGACCCCACACTCAGCTGGCAGAGAGAAGCAACTGGACATTGGGGACTATGGCTGGACTTCAGAGAGAAGCAGATTGACTTCAGAGAGACAGCTTGACGGCGTAACTTCAGAAATGAATCTGGCCCGAGATGGCCAGACTTCAGGGGAAGATTACCTACCTGCCCCATCTCCTTTTCAGCTCCCGTTACTGCTGAGAGCCACTTTCGCCAGCGATAAAATCCCCCGCATTTACCATCCTTCAATTCGTTCGTGCAACCTCATTTTTCATGGATGCTGTACAAGAGCTTGGGAGCCACAAGTGTGGATACAAAAGCCTATCACACTGGCCTTTTGCCCTTGCTGGTGGAGGGCAGCCTCCTCACGCAAAAAGGCAAAGGGCCTACTGAGCTGTTAACACTTAAGCCATCCGCAGACAGCAGAGCGAAAAGAGCAATGTAGGGACATGGATGAAGCTGGAAATTATCATTCTCAGCAAACTAACACAGGAACAGAAAACCAAACACCACATGCTCTCACATGTGAGAGAACACATGGACACAGGGAGGGAATCATCACGCATGGGGCCTGTCAGGGGACTAGGGGAGAGGTAGCATTAGGAGAAATACCTAATGAAGATGACGGGTTGATGGGTGCAGCAAACCACCATGGCACGTGTATACCTATGTAACAAACCTGCACCTTCTGCACATGTATCCGAGAACTTAAAGTATAATTAAAAAAAAAAAAAAAAAAAAAAAAAAAGAGCGCTGTAACATGCCCTCGGGGACTTCGGAAGTTGCATGCATCCTGCTTGGATGCTGCTGAGGGGCCTGAACGGAGTTAGCTCCTGCAGGCGCCCAAAAGGGCTTGCTGTGGCTCCTGCACCCACTCACCTGCGCACTCCCTCTCACGGTGGGTGGAACGCAGTGGGTGCGAGTGAATAGAGTTTGATCCTGCAGGCACCGAAACAGCCAGCCGGTTCCAGTGCTTCTGACTCCAGTTACCGCTGTGTTCACTTACGCACTCCCTCCTGTTAGGAGTTGAGAGAGGTGGGCTGAGTAAACAAGGCACCCCTGTCACGCATCATGCGACCGGGTCGGGGAAATACCGTGCTTCAAAAAGGTCTTTGCAGATATAATTAGTTACATTAAGATGAGGACATATTGATTAGGGTAGACTGTAAATCTAATGATTAGTGTCCTCATAAAGTGGTCAGGAAAATGCTCACACACTGTGAATAAGGCCTTGTGAAGACTGAGACAAAAATGAGAGTGACATAGCTACAAGCCAGGGAATGCCAAGGATTTCCAGCCACTGTCTGAAGCTAGAAAGAGGCAAAGGAAACATTTTCCCTAGAATCCTCAGAGGGAGTATGGCCCCACCAATATTTTGATTCCAGACTTCTAGCCTCCAGAACAATTAAAAATATATTCTGTTGTTTTAAGTCATCCAGTTTGTAGTAAATTGTTATAGCAGCCCTGGGAAACTAATACAGTTTCTCATGAGAGTAAATATTCTGATATATTTTTATTTTTATTACTATCAATACTGATGACAGTGATCTGTGAACAGTTGGAGTTGATATTACATAGGCCATGTAGATATGAATACGAGAGTTCCTTTTGATAGTAGTTATAATATTATTTGGGTTCTTTCCAGTGAAAACTAAAATTGTGACTTAAACTATTGCATATTTTGTGTTATCTTTGGATGTAGGCATTCGAAAAGGTAAACCAATTAAATAATATCAATATTTTACTAATAATGCTATAAAATAAATGTGTGTGTTCATATGTATGTGTGGGTGTCTGTGTGTTGGTCAAAGGTATTAGGTTGGTGCAAAATTCATTGCGGTTTTTGCCATTAAAAGTATGGCAAAAACCGCAATGACTTTTGCACCAAACTAATAGTATCACTTTTTAAAAAACTACTTGAAAATATAAAATGACTGAAAATGGCTTTCAAAGAGCAATGTTAAGGACAATATACTAGAGTTATAAATGAGTGCGTATCTGATACTTGTGGCCACTTTGGGTTCAAATAATTATTTTCTGGGTACATGCTCTAATAGCATCCAGAAATTACTTTTGTCAAATATCCATTTATTTAAGATATATTTATTTTGAGCACTTATTATATACAAACCCTGTGCTGGGTGACAGGCTACAGTGGGGAGTCAAAGATCCCCTTGCTCTTATAGAGCATGCATGCCATTGGAAAAGAGACAATGCACACAACTTAAAAATACATGAAAAATAACAAGTTCTAAGCAAGGTCCGCATGGAGAAGAACAAGTAAAAGTGTATTTTCAATCCAGGGGTAAGGAAACAGCTCTCAGTGCAGATGACTTTTAACTGAAGGCTGAAGTATTCAAAGGAGCTGAACATACAAAGAACAAGGCAGGAGGTCAGCATTCTGATGGGAAAAAAATGCAGGTATAAAGACAGTCTGAGGCACGAGTGACTTTTCTAAGAGCATCAAGAAGAAAGAATATACAAGTGTCACAATAAAATCAAATAATTCTGAAGAATATAAAATAATTTTTAGCAGATTTTCAAACAAGGAAGTCCTTACAGCCTCTTGAAGACTGAGTCTAATAGCAAATACCATAACTGGCTTCCTCTGCCATCTCATCATCTGCTAGCAAACCTTACTGAAAATCAAATGGCATTGTAAGAAGAGCAAGCTCAGCCAGCATGTCAGGAACCTTTGTTGGAATATAACTCCACAGAAGGAAATGTGCAGATAATGGAAGACAGCAGGATAGCTTAGCAGCTGCTATGTATTGAGAAATAGCAGGACGGCCTCAAAGATTTCAGTGGAAATGCTGTGGAGGACCATAGAGTCCTAACAGGAAACAATGGGAAAAAGCAGCCATTCATGAATCAGTCTGGTGTGGAAGTCAGCACAGAGGGTGATTTTGACTGTGTGCAAAACAAAAGGCAAAGAAAGGAGTAATATTATGTTCTGTCAATAGAGCAAGCTGAAGAATATTGTTAAATTTTGTTGTTAAAGCTTTAGGTAAATCTTACACCCTAAAAGCTTTGGCATAGAAAAGAAAACCACTGACAAAATGCAACCAAATGCAAACAAAGGGCAGCCTGCAGACTGGAAAAATATATCACACAACTGATAAGGGGTTAATATCCAAAATTTATATTAAAAAACCCTACAACTCAATAGCAGAAAAATAAATAACCTGATTTAAAAATGGGCAAAAGACCAAAACAGGCATATCTCCAAAGAAGACATAAAAATGGCTAACATATATATGAAAAGGTGCTCAACATCAGTAATCATCAGGGAAATGCAAATTAAAACCACTATGAGATATCACTTCATACCCAATAGATTGGCTATTATCAAAAAAACAAGAGATAATAAATGTTGGCTAGGGTGGGGAGAAAAGAGAACCCCAGTATACTGTGGGTGAAAATGTACACTGTGGAAAAGCCATTGTGGAAAAGAGCATGGAGGTTCCACAGAAATTAACAATAGAACTTCCATACATATCCAACAATCTCTCCTCTGGGTATATACCAAAAGGAGATGGAATCACAGCCTTGTAAAGATATCTGTACTCTCATGTTCATTTCAGCATTACTCACAATAGCCAAGATAATGGAAACAACCTAAGTGTCTGTTGACAGAAGAAAGGATAAAGAAAATTATAAACAAACACACACACACATCCAGAGGCAGGAACATTACTTAGCCTTTGAAAAAGAAGATGCTGCTATTTGTGACAATGTGGAAGGAGCTGGTGGACATTATGCTACATGAAATAAGCAAAACACAGAAAGAAAAATATTGTATGATCTCACTTATAGTGGCATCTGAAAAAATAGACAGAAAATAAAACAGCAGTTTTCATGGGTGGAATGGGGAGAAAGGAAATGGGGAGATGTAGGTCAAATAATACAAAGTAACAGATTAGGTAATATGAACAAATCTAAAGATCTAATGTAAGACACAAGGACTACAGTGACTAAAATTATATTGTATTAGAAATTTTTGTTAAATAAGTAGATGTTAGCTTCTGTGTTTAAAAAATGTAACTAAGTGAGATGACAGATATGTTAATCTGCTTCAGTAGAGCAACCATTTTACTATCTACATGTATCCCATAACATCATATGGTAAACCTCAAATATACACAATACAATTTACCTTTTTTAAAAAACAGTATTCTCTTGAAATATGGCATGCCCCACTTTTCACACAAAAACTTCCAGTGCAGACATTTCAAGATTTGTTAGTTAATTCAACACTTATTTAGTGAACGCCTAGCATGTTCCAAGCATATTTCAGGCAATATCATCCTTCAACAAAATAAAGATTCTTGTTTTATTACAAAATTCATTTTAGCCAAAAAGACAGATGATGGACATAATGGCTAAAAAGACTGTGATGTGATAGGAGGTGGTCAGGGTTAGGGAACACAGAGCCCCAAGGATGGCCTGTCCCTGCAAGCAGCAGCAAGGTGGCCACAGGTGAAGAAGAACTGGTGAGCTTGAGAGTAGCAAAGGTCAGAGAGGTAACTAGGGCAGATCATGCAAACTCTTGCAAGTAATTTAAAAAATAATATTTTGAAATAAATTTAGACTACAGAATTTGTAAAACTGTACAGCATCCCCACATACTCTTCACTCAGCTTCCCTCAATGATAATATATATGTAACCATATATATTAAGACCAGAAAAATGGAATTGGTACAATTCAATAAACTAAGATACAGACCTTATTCAGGCGCCAAGAGATTTCCCATACATTGACTTTTCATTGTTGTTTGGTGTAAACTTGTTTGGATTTTGTGGCATGTACAGGTTTATGGAGATACCACAACACTCAGGGTGCAAAACTGTTCCATTGCTCCCCAAAATGTCCTCCTTTTGTTGTCACATGTTCACCCCACCTCTATCAACCACCTGTCATTGGTTTTAGTGGAATTGACTTTATCTTTGACTGAGGTGGGGATCCTTTGGAAGATTTTGAGCAAATAAGTGGCATAATCTGCTATATTATATGTAATGTATGTATTTCTTTTGTTTTCGTACTTAATTCAAATCTATAGAATGTTAAAAGAATAAAATGAACCGCTGTATTTCTTTATGTCTGTATTTTCAAATACTGGCACTTTACTTGATTTGTTTTATTTTTCCATATATATTATTTCAATTTCATGTTGTTTTTCCTACTCTATGTGGTGAGCCATTTGAAAGAAATTTGTCATGTACAATGGCAATTACTACTAAATACACGAGTCATCTAACAATAGGGAAATTTGTCTCATAAGCACAACATTATCACACCTTCCAAGATTAACTTTGATACAATGTCTTCTAGTATATAGGCCACAAATTTCTCTCATTGTCTTAAAATATTCTTTAAAAATTTTAAATCAAAAATCCAGTCAAGATCACATATCACACTTGCTTGTCGTTTCTCTCGTCATCCCTATCCTGGACAAATAGCTCCATGTCTCCCCCATGGCCCCCTGTTTTTGTCTTTCAGGACATAAGCTAGTTACTTATTGAATGTCCTACAATCTGGATGGATTTGTCTGATTATTTCCTCCTGATCAAATTTTGACTGGACATTTCAGCAAGAACATGAGATAAGTAATTGTGTACTTCCTACTGCATCATAGCATGAGGCATAGAGCAGCAGTTTATCTCATGAGTCCTGCTAAATTTGTTGAATAGGTTAGTGTTCATTAAATCTTTCGCTTTTAAAGATAGTTTATTCTCTTTGTAATTAATTTTTAAAAATTTATGGAGTGACACAGAGTTCACGTGAATATTCTGTTTCTCAGCATCTTTAACTTAGCATCCATGTTGGCCAGTGGTTTTAGCATCCATTGATAATGCTTATCTAAGTTAATTATTACATTGGTTGGTGAAATATAATGCATTTGTCCACTAACACTCTGTGAAGATGTTCTTTCTCTCATCTCACTCCTACCACCTTTTATTTAGGATCAGTGTGGACTTAAGAGTTTTTGATAATGTTGATATTTGTATTACTACTGTCATTCCAGTTGTTATTTTTATTATTTCCTAACATGTTGTATTTTTTTTCTTTTAATTGTCAAGTTAAGCTGTTTGGCCAATGGAAGCTACTTCAAGCCCCTGTGACTTTGCTATATTCCCGTTAGTCTTCAAACACTTTCTGGCTTTCAAATAATAAGATACTCAAGAATCACCTCAAACTTTCTCTGCTTCAAATGAGGAATCAACTATTTCTCCAAAAGTCCCTGGTCCCTTTGTGTGGGGAAGTGGCAAAGATCACCTTGTTGTTTTGAGAAGGGAGTGGGATAAGGAAAAGGGAGTGGGGTGAAAGCAAGGAGAGGAGTTAGGAAGCCATTGCAATCTTCACCAGACCTAAACGTGACTGAATTAGCCAAGTACAATTCAACAGAGTAGGAAGTGTTTGGATTTTTTAACGTTATCAAGGTAGAGTTCCACACAGATAGGATGTGGAGTTTAAGAGAAAGAGATGAGGCAGAGATGCCTCAAGTGTTTTGGTCTGAGCTGCTAGAAGAAGGGAATTTGGGGAAGGAGGTGCAATAAGAGAAGGATCGATAGTTCAAAAGTTCAGTGTTGTGAATTATTTGCTTTTCCAGCCATTTGAAGTTGTTCAAACATGGTGAAATAATTTAGCCATTGAAACATCCAGTTTTATTATCTTCAGTATTACATGTGTGTACATACATACTTAGTACAGTGAACTGTTACTTTAATATTTACAATCTGTATCAGCAAAAAAATACCATTAGATTGTGAAAGAGATTCTCCTTTAGCAACATCCTTATTTTTCCTCTAAGGACATGTGCTCATATGTATTAAGATTCCTATAGATTCAGATTCATTACCGTATGGTATAAAGTGATTTTTCCCTGGGTATTTTCACTATGTTACCCATGGATTTCTTCATAAAAGACAGACAAATGATAGAGCAATGTAATTGCTTAACATTTGCTATTGAATGAAAATATTTTTTGCATATTCAGCAAGACTCTGGGCTTGAAATTCATGCATTGACAAGAAATTCCTTTAGCCTTCATGGGACATATCTAGGGATATACTTAGAGGACTAGACCATAGAATTTTATTTATTTATTTATTTATTTATTTATTTATTTATTTATTTCCTTATTTTTGAGACAGAATCTCACTCTGTCGCCAGGCTGGAGTGCAATGGCACGATCTCGGCTCAATGCAACCTCTGAGTCCAAGCGATTCTCCTGCCTCAGGTTCCCGAGTAGCTGGGACTACAGGCGCACTCCAACACGGCCAGCTAATTTTTTTGTTTTTAGTAGAGACAGGGTTTCACCATGTTGGCCAGGCTGGTCTCGAACTCCTTGTCCACACTGGTCTTGAATTCCTGACCTTGTGATCTGCCTGCCTCAGCTTCCCAAAGTGCTGGGAATTACAGGCGTGAGCCACCATGCCTGGCCTATTTTTTATTTTTTGAGAGAGAGTCTCACTCTACTGCCCAGGCAGGAGTGCAGTGGTGCAATCTCGGCTAACTGCAACCTCTGCCTCCTGGGTTCAAGTGATTCTCCTGCCTCAGCCTCCCGAGTAGCTGGGACTACAGGTACGCTCCACTGTGCCTGGCTACTTTTTGTATTTTTAAATAGAGAAGTGGTTTCACCATGTTGGATAGACTGGTCTTGAACTCCTTGGACAGACTGGTCTCGAACTCCTGACCTTGTGATCTGCTGGCTTTGGCCTCCCAAAATGCTGGGTATACAGACAGGTGTAAGCCACCGCACCCGGCCTATTTTTTATTTTTATTTATTTATTTATTTATTTATTTTTTGAGATGGAGTCTCACTCTGTCACCCAGGCTGGAGTGCAGTGGTACGATCTTGGCTCACTGCATCCTCCATCTCCTGGGTTCAAGCGATTCTCCTATCTTAGCCTCCTAAGTAGCTGGGACTACAGGGATGTGCCACCATGCCTGGCTAATTTTTGTATTTTTACTAGGGATGGGGTTTTGCCATGTTGGCCAGGCTGGTCTTGAACCCCTCACCTCAGGCAATCCACCTGCCTTGGCCTCCCAAAGTGTTAGGATTACAGGCATGAGCCACCTCACCCAGTCAGACCATGGAATTTTATTTGGGCAGGGTTGGACACAGTTTTTCAGTAAAGAGCCAGATAGTAAATATTTCAGGCTTTACAGGCCATATGGCCCCTGTCATAACTACTGATGTTGTCATGTGAAAGCAGCCATGGAAAATATCTAAACAAATTAACATGTCGGTGTTTCAATAAAATTGTATTTACAAAAACAAGTGGCAGGCAGAATTTGGCCTGCTAGGCCATAGTTTACCAAGCCCTAATTTAAGGGAAGTCCCAAATGAACAGACTAAGGGCAGCTCTCTCTCTCTTTGGCCATGATATAGGAAACCAGAGTTAAAGCAAGAATATCAGAATCCCAAATGTTAAAAAAAGGTCTATTGCTGACAATGAAATGTGTGGTCATACGTGTAATAAAATGCTACCATAGACTTCCGTCTTGAGGTAAAATATTTCTAAAAATAAATTTTTAAGTATATGCTATATATAAGAATTTTCTAATATCTGAATATTTTATAAAAGTTCTTTTAAGTAAACATTATTTATGAAAGTTATTTTACATAAACTTTTTTTATGAAAGGAAGTTATTTGTTAAATTTCTGATCTGAAAACTTTTTATGAATTAATTGTTTGAATCTCAGAAAGCATTTTTCTACTGACACAATATTATAACAGAAGTCTCCTTCTCTTTGCTATATTATTCAGGCAACAGAGCAATTTAGTTCAACTGAAGTTACTGAATGCTATTTAAAACAAGCCTTCCCTATAGGAAGCCCTTTAGAGTTCAGAAATGAGATGTCTTGCCAGTTCTGATGGGCACTGAAGCTTCCAGCTCTCTTGAACATTAGTAATTTAGGACATTCATCAAGAAAGTGGTAGTCACACATTGAAAGATGGTCTAAATCTATTAAATGCTATCAATGTGTTGGTCATTCAAAAGAACTTGCTTTATTCATATAGATAGGAAATGTTAAACCGTTATAAGGATAAGGGAGTGGGGTGGAAGCAAGGAGAGGAGTTAGGAAGCCATTGCAATCTTGACCAGACCTAAATGTGACTGGATTAGCTGAGTACAATTCGACAGAGTGGGAAGTGGTTGGATTTTTTAATGTTATCAAGATAGAGTTTTACACAGATAGGATGTGGAGTTTAAGAGAAAGAGATGAGGCAGAGGTGCCTGAAGCATTTTGGCCTGAGAAAATAATTCCAGGATTTATTAGACATGCAATTATAAACAGATTTATCCATTCGATGGCTCCTCCCATTATTCAGAGTAAATGTATCACTGAAGGAAATAATGCTAATCACAGAAGTAAATGTACAAGGATTATTGACTATTTGATCAGTGCAGAGTAAAGTGATTTCAGGCATGTATTAGGTCTGCCAACATAAATTTTTTAACTAAACAATGCAAATTCCAAGCTATGTTTTCAAAATATTTTAATATAAGCTATAGAGATTTATATTGTTACTAAGTATAAGAGTCTAAATATGAATTAAGCAGATTATTTTACTATAGAATAACATATAAACTCGGAGGGCTGAAAGGGCAGTGAAAATATTGTTTATCATTTTCTACTATCATTTTGTATTTAATTGTAGACATTGTTGGACAAGGAAATGGCTATATTTATATTGATATATTTATGAGGCTTCTAATTAAGAAGGTTAAACATAGTTTTCTGATTTTTTTATGCCCTAAAACTTACAGTATATTTAAAATATGAAAAGGAAGCAGGTATTTCAACTCCTATAATGATCAAAATGCAAGATCATGAGCTTCCCATAATACATGCTTTTGCTACTTAAAAAAAAAACTCCTCTTATTTTTTCTATTTCATATAAACTAACCACAAACTATAATTTCAAATCAGATTTTTTTCTTAATTTTGAGCTTTGTTATTAGTCAGAAACTTCCTTATTAACTGACTAAACTCAGTGTGTAAGCTAAAATGAAACGAAGATGACAGTTAATAAAATTTATAAACAAGGATGTCTTCCTAAATTGCTATTTCTTTAAAACAATATCTTTAAAGTTTACATTTTTGCAAGAATTAGACAACTGACCTCCACCTGTGGATATTTCTTTCTAATAAATATATGCATATACTTTCAAGTTCAAGCTATATACATGTCTTAATAGAGGCTCAGGGAACAGAGAAGTGCTCTAATGCTTAAAGACTGCCTTAAGCCATGTATGTTTTTGAGAACTTTTGTTCTTTTATTGTAAAAGAACATGTAACTTTGAGGTGGGAGGAGGGCATGGTGTGAGTATGAATTGTGTGTGTCTTTCAATCTCATAAATCCATTCTTTTCAAAGAAAATCTCAAGAGTTTCCCAAATATAAACATATTGTATTCATCTCTGTCATGCACTTGAGGGATTTTATCCCTAAAGTGAGGTATAGTTAGTCATTGGAAAAAGAAAAAAGGTATAAAATATTATAGTATATAATTTACAGTTATTAACAGGGAAAACTTTGCTTTTTTTGAAAAACTGTAAGCCTATAACTCCTGCTGGGATCAGAAGTATCATTTGCAGAACTCTTTTAACCAGCGTTTCACCTCCCCACTTGTCAATGCATAAATCTTTCTCTATTGCTCGGAATAACTAAACAGCCTCTGGCAATGGAGAATGACTAAGTTGGGGGCAGAGAGAAGTAAAGCAAGTTTAAAGTAAACCAATTAAAGAACCTAAATTCAGACAATGTTTTGCCTAAACTATTTTGATCTTTTATACTATTCCATTAAATAAGAAATATCATATATTATATTAAGTATAATGTATATAAAAATTATATATATAAATTAAAAATCTTAATGAACAATAAACTCCCTGCAAATCATATTGTATCTGATGTTGACATCTCTTAAGATAAGAGCATGAAAAACTTGAATAATATTTTAAAAATATGAATGGAGAAAAAGGTTAATGTTTCAATGGAGTACAGTGGCATAATCACAGTGAACTGCCCCTTTGACTTCCTGGGCTCAAGAGATCCTCCCACCTCAACCTCCACAGTAGCTGGGACTACAGGCATGCACCACCATGCCTGACTAATTTTTTAAATTTTTGTAGAGATGGAATCTCCCTGTGTTGCCCAGGCCAGTTTTGAACCCCTGGGGTAAGAGATCCTCATCCTCCTAAAGTGTTGGGATTACAGGCATGAGCCACTGTATCTGGCCCCAAATAGTTTCTTAAATGCTGAAGAAGCAACTAGTAAATAGAATATGGATTGTTTTTATACCAAATCTATTTTACGTCCGTACTCCACTTGAGAATTTTTCTTAACACAAATAGCCAAAAAATATAAAATATTCTCTCTGATTCTGGAATTTAGTCCAGCATAATATATGTTTAAATATGGTCCAAACCAGTCGTGGAATTCAACATTTCTCAAAGAATTCAATGAAACATTAATTATCATTGGTTTTGGCAAGCATATGTGGAAATTTGGAAATGGTTTGCAGTATAAGAAGTGTATGGAATCACATTTACTCTGAAAATATTTCATATTTCTTTTTAAAAGAAATGTTCCTATAACTGTGACATGTTTTTCCTTTATAATTTATTATTCCTGAGTAGAAGATCTATAGAAACTAAGACTCGTAGTAATAATTCATAATTTTATTTCTCTTAGGTTGTATATACCATAATTACTTTTATCCATGCTTGTTCCATTTAAAAAGTAAAATAAAACAAAATACAGCAATTAACAATAAACATACAAAACATACTTTAAAATAGAGATGGCCTGAAATACTTGGAATGGTAAAATGCCTCATTATATTTTTCTATTAAATCGAATGTATGGCTGTGATGCTAATCAATCTGATTTTTTTTTCTACACACAATTTCTTGGAACACATCCTAGGAGTAAAGCAAGACATGCCAATGGATTAGAAAAATTAACAAAAATTTAAATTGTTATGAAATAAAAATGATATTTGAATATTATTGTGAATTGCACTTGATTACTTAATATATTTTATCTTTATAATCATATGATAGTTGAAAGAGCAGGGGCTTAGTAATCAGATTGATTCATATTTAAATTAGAGTTGTAGCTTTTACTGACTGTGGTTTCTATCTCTATTAATTAGATTAATAGCCACTTCCTTCAGGGTTGCAATATTATGCAAAACATATCTAACACATACTATGCTTTCATAAATTTGAGTGATCTTTCCCACATATCATTTTCAATTTATATATGATAAATTTATTTGGCCCAGAATTGTTACTGTGATTGATACATTTATCACTTTCTATAAGTTATTATATTAATCTCCTCTTTTAAAAAAATTATAATCTATTGGAAAGATTTAAAAAATCCCCCAGGTAGGTGATTTCCCACAGATTTATATTCAAGAGGGTTTATTTGTTTTTCTCTTATCTTGTTTTTCTAGTTTGTTTTTTATTCTGGAAGATTCTGATTTTAAAAAAACAAACCAAAAAACCCTAGTAGTTTGATAAAAGTATCTCCAGAAGAACATTGGTTATTAAACCTGTCAAGACTTCTAAATTTTCAAGGGCAAAATCATTATACATTATTCTATATGCCTGACTGCTTTGATCTAAGGCTAAACCTTTTATTTCATAGTCTCAGAGAAATAATTCCATATCTAATGTTTCTAGCAGTTCCATGAAAGATGTTAATCCTTTCTAATTACACAGCCTCTTGAGAAGGGCTGCAGAGCTTACTTGGACACACATGACTAATGCTGCTTGTGAAGTTTACAGTCTTATAGAAAGATATCACCAAGCATTCATTAAGGGGAAATAAATTTTACCTAGTTACAGTGATCAGTTGGGGCTTCGTATGTAAATGCTATTAGACATAAAATACTTTAAAAATATATGGCAGGATTTTACATCCAGAAGCCATTTCAAGAAAGAGATTAGTAGAAAAGGATCTTGCTAATGGGCAGTGATGCCATAAGTTTGAGCCTTTTAAGGAAATTCTGATGTAGTTATTACATCCAGTTTGTTGAACTCAGGCATTTCCAGTTTGGTTTAGGTATTAGGTCAGCACAGGGTAGCAGTGGGGATAAGAACAGAAAGTAACCAAGATTGGATTCTGGATAACCAAGTTTAAGAATTTGGTATATTATAGAATGAAGACTTAATTAAGAAAGTAACATGACTAGAACAACAAATTAGGAAGATTAATTTTGCAGGTGATAATAGGGTAGATAAAGGTACGATGACATGAGACAGAAAACAAAATAGCAATACCTTGATGTTACATGATAAAATTACTGAAATCCTGAAACAGGATGGAAGATATGGGAAAAGGGCAATAAATATGATGGAAAGAAGCAACTGAGTAAATGCATAGGCATATTTGTTGATAAAGTTTCCATGATTCCACTCAAGAAATAAAGAAGCTTTGCTAATAGAGGAAAGTGGCTCAGAGAAGCTGATTTGATAAGGAGAATGTTGACTTTGATTTTTGTATGACATCAGTTAACCTTCCTGGATTTAAATCAAAAGTGACCGTCCTTATTCAGGAATGTATACTAGAAATGTGGAACTTCAATTAAAAGAACTTTAAAACTGGAAATTGTCCAGGTGAAAAGATCCATCACAAAACAGGAGGACCCCACATTTTTTGGTTAGGAAGCTAGTAAGTCTGGTGATGTAACATTTTTTACAAGCATTCGGCTCTGGCATTTTCCATAATATATAAAGATATTAATTGTGTATCTATCAGAATTGTAGCATTAGAGTGAATGTTGGGTGAATCTTGTGGTTGTTATAGTAAGAAATGGCAACATGTTGGCCAGGAAACAATTATTTTTTATTTGAATTATGTCAAAACAGATGTTATTATCCTGAGATATAGAAACAGCAAAAACTTATCACTATAAGAAATGCTTAGTTTAAAGGCTACAACTGCCTGTAATCCCAGAACTTCGGGAGGCTGAGGCAGGCAGATTGCTTGTACTCAGGAGTTTGAGGCCAGTGAGGGCAATGTGGTGAAACCTCGTCTCTACAAAAAATACAAAAATTAGCAGGGCATGGTGGCATACGACTGTAGTCCCAGCTACTAGGGAGGCTGAGGCGGGGGAATTGCTCGAGCCCAGGAGGTGGAGGTTGCAGTGAGCAGAGATTGTGCCACTGCATTCAAGCCTGGGTGCCAGAGCCAGACCCTGTCTCAAAATCACTACTAATACTAATAAAAAATAAAAAATAAATCTAAACAACTGCTTGATCAGAAGCTAATAACGATGAATGAAACTGTACTAACAAAGAAACCATGAATTTAGCAAAAATTAAAATGTCACCGCCGTTCAATATGTAAAGAAATTAAAGCCCAAACAGGAAACAAGAGGAAGTGAGATGTCAAAGCTTCTCAATGCCAGGACCACTCATATCCCATGTGCTCTTATAAAATAATGAGGAAGGAGACAAAACCAGGGCCTTTGAAGAATTAATGAATGAGGAAGATTGTTTCAAGAACAAAAGCTCTCCATGGCAAAGGCAATAGGCAAATGAAGAAGCAACACAATTCTTAACTTCTTCCACCCAAAAGTGGCATTAGTCACTTTTACTCACAGCTCATTGGTAAGAACTACCCTCTGGACCCAAATATAACTGCAAGGGATACTGGGAAAAGGAGATTGCAAATAGATTTTTGGTGCAGATTAAAATCTCTGCCACATGAGGACTGACACATAGGATTAAAAAGTACTTAATTTCATGTAAGAACAAGACTTCCTTATTCTCTCTGTTCAGAAGAATTTGAAGTATGCTGTGTGTTATGGACCTGTGCACATGGTTTTTCATTTTGTCCTTTAAAGAACATGAATTTATGTAGAAGCAAAGTGATTCTTTTCCAAATCTGCACATTCATTAGTAGGATTACCTAGAAAGACAATCTCCCTTTTTCTGGATATAATGCCTGGAATTGCCACAACCAAATTCCTGCCAGTCACCAATGATGAAGCTGCAGGGATTATAGCATAACAGGAATAATCTGGTTGACTATCGTATAAACACTTCTATCATTTGGACTTCCTGAGATGTAATGTTATATTCATTATATACAGTGTTTATGCCAGTTCAACTAAGTGTATCTATTACTACACCGAAATGCATTTCAGCTGCTAAAGATATTTTAAAGAATTCACGATATTAAATATTAGCCGAAGAGAAATAAAAATGAAGACAAAGTTCTGGCAACTGGGCACTTATGTCTTCAACTGGAGAAAATAGCTAGGTTGACCCAAATTGTGGGGATTAAAAGGCAACCAAGAGTGATAAATCCCTGAGTTGCAGGAAGTCAGACGTTTTAGAATGAGTCTAGTGATCAACAGAGCACTTGCTGCAGATAGCTCAGGAAAGATGAGTTGAGAAAAATCATCATCTGTCTGGTAACGTGGAGGTCTCATGCTATAAACTCCAGGAACAACATTTTCATACAGTGCCAGAAAGAAAAATGGGCATGGATTTCATGGTGAAAAAGTGCAGGCAGTAGATGTTGCAGCGCATTTAAGGAAATGATTAGATTGATTGCCTTATTAGTCTAGATTAAGGAAATGAGATAAATAGTAAGGTGACTTGATATATTGAGAAAATATTTGGGGTTTTGTTTTTAATTGGGAGAATGCAGGTGTATTCATTAACAGAGGGACAAGTAGAAAGGGTAAATTAAATATATGTATCATAAACAATAGACAAAGAACATCAAGGAAGTGAAAATTCTTTTAAGCATCTGCATTGCCCAAGGTCCTTACATCAGCACTGTCTCTACTTTTTTTAGTCTCTATAGACAATTTCATCCACTCTCTAGATTTTTAGCAGTGTCTATGTTATCAATGAAGATCATAAATCTGCATGTCAATCATATCTTTTACAATAAAATTTAGACTCAAATTTCGTTTGCTGAATTATTATACTTGGATGTCCCACAATGACTTTGGCCACAAAATACCCAAAACTGAACTCATCACTTTTTTCACAATCTAGTTTTTGCCTCATATTTCCTATGATCAGAAAACAGCATTACCTAGACTTCTTTTTCCAAGTAACCTGTTTCCATGGTCTTCAAATCCTATGTACTTTTGGGTTCTGCTTCTTTCTTTACAGGTTTATAAAACTAGTCTAGATAAACCCATCACAATTTCTTGAACTGACAACACATAAATAAAGTTAAAGCTCCAGATAACATTTTCTGTTCTTGAATCCCTCACAATTTATGTTTCAGCAATACCAAATACTTCCCTTGCTTAAACCTTATTATTACCTTCAGAACTTTGCCATGATATTATTTAAGATTCATTTATCCATTTTCACCTTTTATGTGCCTGATTATTTTCTATTAATTATTTAAGTATGGCCTTAAGTTTATCTGCTTTTTAGAATTATTCCCCATCCCCTCAACTTGAGCTGGATCTTTCCCAGTCTCAGAGGATGGAGTCTGTATATCTCTACAGTATTGCCCTGAAATGATTTACTTTATTTGTCTTCTCCCTATTCTTTATCTCCCAAACTAGGACTTTTTGGTAATGATGACTGGGATTTACTTATCTTTCTAATTATTCCCGGTATCTAGAAAAACATGGACAAAGAGTAGATGCTCAAGAAGTACTCGTTGAATGGTACTGAAGACTCTTATCAGGAGACTGAGTCAGTAAAGACCACAGGCACTACATGCTACATGCTATATGCTAACATTTGCTCTTGTTCTGTATAAAGCATCAGTAAGAACTCAAGGACAAGAACTTCAATTTGAAATTGTCCAGCAGGAAAATCTACTGCTCCAAAGGACATTAAACCAACCTTACTTCCAGATTATTTCAACAGTAATAAGGAGCAAAATAAAAAAAAAGATTTAAATAATGTAAATGTTAGCAATGAATATCTGAAAAGCCTGGAATTCTTCTTACAACAACTCATATTTCATTCCCTTAGCTATTATACATATTTCTATCAAAGAAAAGTTATTGAAAGTATGTCCACTGTATCATATAAAGGGCAGAGTAGCAATTGATATTCGATATATTCACATGTAAAATAATTGAACTGCCATTGCCCATGGGAATGATGGCAACTTCATTGTGTCCCTTGCAAGCTCTTTGACACAACCTAGTGGGAGGGTCAAAGAGTTAGGCCAGCAGGGGGCCAGACCTATTCAGTAGAGGATCCTGGTACAGACAGCTGTGTCCTATGTCATGTTAAAGTGTTGTGAGACCCATCAAAATGTTATTCTATCTTCCAAATAAATAACTTTTTAAACTTACTTTTTCTCAAAATGGAAACATATCAAATAAACAATTAACTGTGGGATTCAGTGATTTCTAAGTGTTTATTTATTCTTTCCTGGGAGGATTTCTCTCAGCCTTTGAGTGCCTAAAACACTAAATTCTGTTATAAATAAAATATAAACTTCAAGTTTCCATACTGCACTGGAAGTGTGATATTTATCACACATGCTGCAATCTTCAGAATCACATAATCTAAAATGCAGAAGGTGGCATAATTTTAACTATCACATATCATATGTGAAATATAAGTCACTATCTCAGTGGATTTCCCTTTGAATAGTCAGCATTCCTATTGTTTAAATTGAGCGTAAGAGAGTCATACAATATGAAAAAAAAATTAAAGAGGAACTTGTCTACCATTTCAGTAAATGACTTTTTGCAAAACCCAACTGTGGATCTAATTTATTCTCTTGAGATTCTCCATGTGAGTATTTCTAAATGAGCTTGTATATTGCAGGGCTTTACGTAACCTTATTATCCTCTTACCTTTACATCACAAGCAAGGAATTAGAAAAGCTGTCCTTGTACAATTTGACCCACTTCCCTAAAGGCTTTTAACCTGAGGCAAAATCCATTTAACCAGCCAGGGCTAGCACTCTGATAACAGTAGATGCCAGCTGGATGGCCAGGTCTATAATGTACACAGGCATCCACATGGACTACAGATCATCATGAAACATCAGATTTAATTCGCACTTCAGAGAAAGTGTTACAAATTAATCTTGCCCATTGCAGTAGGATTTTTCACAATGATGGGAGTCCAACAGATTTCTATATTTGCTCTATCTCACCAGAACAATCAACATAAGGAATCTTTAAATTTCTCTTTCTCTTTTTATGAAATCAAGCTGAAAATAACTTATTTGGCAAGGCATAATATTGTTTTTCATGTTTATAATATTCATCAATTACAAGTTATATAAAACCATATCATAAGGTTTGATTAGTATACAGACATGAAAATAGCGTAATGCTTTTTGAAGATTATTAACTGTGAAATGCATTAAAAGAAAAACAAATCACTGATATATCTTACTATTTTCTACTCTTGTTCCTTCAAGTATTCTTCAAATAACTATATAACTGGATATTCTAGAATTCTAGAATTTAACAATATTCTATACTAGCCTTAAATTTATCTTTTAAAATAAGGACATAAAGAGTACATAAATCTTTAAAGTAACTCAAAGTTGTTCAAAAAAGACCATGTATGTACTAATTATTTCTGGATAGGCATGATCTGTGCTATTTATCTTTAAGAAACAATAAAATGAAAGTGAATCAAAACCATTGCAAACAAACCGCTGGTTTGGTAATTTTTTTAAATGTTTCTTCAAGAATGGCCAACAATACTTACCCTTTCTGCAATACACTTTAATAATTCAGATTGACCTGAGTGACACTGAATAATGAGAGCGTAACTGTTCATCTGCAGGGTTAACTGCAATTGAACTTTGCCCAGAACAATCTGCTCAATTGCATTTTCATAGGAAAATGTGTCACTTCATTTCCGAAACCAATGCTTAATACAATAGCCAGAATTTGGCAAAATTGAAAAGCCCAGACCTGCAATTGGATCATTCAACTGTGTGGCATATAGCTGAAGAAATGTTCACATTATAGCCACTGATAAAGCTGCATATCCACATCGCTATTACTGGTATTACTACCACAGTGGCTGAAATAATATTTTAATATAGGAAGTAGAGCTAATTTAAAATATTTCTTTGTATTTTCTATAATACTTCTTTTCTCATATTCATATTCATGAAAATACTACTATTCAAAGTTTATAATTACTAAATTCATACTTTGGTATGAATTACAGAAATACAGAAAAATAATATAAATACATTGGCTTCAAAAATTTAATGGATAGTATAAAACATTTTTTAAGGTACTCATCTTTTTTTAACTGGAAAAAATTTAAATATGTTGGATGTACAGAAATATGTAACCATGTGAATACTATTAGCTCATATCATTTTAGAAATCTTACTACTTAAAATTTTTAGATATTAGCATATATTTCAGTGTGATAAAAGTTTAAACACATAAGCAACATAAACAAAATATAACAAAGATACTTTCATTCAGATTTTCTAAAAATTAATATTCCTGGTAACCTAGCTATTTTATTGGCTTAAAAATCTGTTTGATTTTCATAAAAATATTTTATTATGAGCCAATTTCCCCCAATAATATTTTTTCAGAATTACAGTTTGTGTATCAATAATGTCACATAAAATTAGTATTACACAAATGTAAAATGATGTGTAAGGGCCATATTTTCATATTTTTAAATAATCAAATTCCTAAGACAAGTCACAGCACCATATTTGTAAATTATAAATATAAGTATTGTCAGAAGTAATAGGGGAGACAATATCAAAGTGAGGGGCTTTATTTTTTTCCTGAGTGGAAATATTTTTGTACTTCACTAAATAAAGTGTATAGGATGGTGTAAAAGAACAAGTGGTAAGATAAATGAGTCCTGGCAGTGGGATAACGTTTACATAATGTCTCACCAAATGGCTTTAAGAACTCCACCAGTTCAAGTGTTTTAAGCATTAACTAAAGAAGACAAAAATTATAAAGAAAATACTAGGCTAAAGAGCTTCTGCACAGCAAAAGAAACTACTCTCAGAGTGAACACGCAACCTACAGAATGGGAGAAAATTTTTGCAATCTACTCATCTGACGAAGGGCTACTCCTCTGACAAAGGGCTACAATGAACACAAACAAATTTACAAGAAAAAAACCAACAACCCCATCAAAAAGTGGGCAAACGATATGAACAGACACTTCTCAAAAGAAGATATTTATGCAGCCAAAAGACACATGAAAAAATGCTCATCATCACTGGCCATCAGAGAAATGCAAATCAAAACCACAATGAGATACCATCTCACACCAGTTAGAATGGCGATCATTAAAAAGTCAGGAAACAACAGGTGCTAGAGAGGATGTGGAGAAATAGGAACACTTTTACACTGTTGGTGGGACTGTAAACTAGTTCAACCATTGTGGAAGTCAGTGTGGAGATTCCTCAGGGATCTAGAACTAGAAATACCATTTGACCCAGCAATCCCATTACTGCGTATATACCCAGAGGATTATATATCATGCTGCTATAAAGAAACATGCACACATATGTTTATCGCGGCACTATTCACAATAGCAAAGACTTGGAACCAACCCAAATGTCCATCAATGATAGAATGGATTAAGAAAATATGGCACATATACACCATGGAATACTATGCAGCCATAAAAAATGATGAGTTCATGTCCTTTGTAGGGACATGGATGAAGCTGGAAACCATCATTCTCAGCAAATTATCACAAAGACAGAAAACCAAACACCGCATGTTCTTACTTATAGGTGGGAATTGAACAATGAGAACACATGGACACAGGAAGGGGAACATCACACACCGGGGCCTGTTGTGGGGTGGGGGGAGGGGGGAGGGATAGCAATAGGAGATATACCAAACGTTAAATGACGAGTTAATGGGTGCAGCACACCAACATGGCACATGTATACATATGTAACTAACCTGCACGTTGTGCACATGTACCCTAAAACTTAAAGTATAATAAAAAAATAAAAGAAAGAAAGAAAATACTAGGCCAGGCACAGTGGCTCAAGCCTGTAATCCCAGCACTTTGGGAGGCTGAGGCAGGCAGATCACAAGGTCAGGAGATCGAGACCATCCTGGCTAACATGGTGAAACCCCATCTCTACTAAAAATACAAAAAATTAGCCAGGTGTGGTGGTGGGCGCCCGTAGTCCCAGCTGCTGGGGAGGCTGAGGCAGGAGAATGGTGTGAACCCGGGAGGCGGAGCTTGCAGTGAGCCGAGATCATGCCACTGCACTGCAGCCTGGGCGACAGAGTGAGACTCCGTCTCAAAAAACAAACAAACAAACAAACACAAAACAAAAACAACAACAAAAAAGAAAATACTAAAACATTATGTTGCAGTGCACACTTGGACATTGTATTCACACTGAAACTTACAGTCATTCTAAAGTTATTTGAAACATTCTTATCAATGTGTATCTCCCAAGACATGATTGCTAATTATTTTTAATGGAAATGGTCTATGGATTTTAACCTGCAGTGGGAATGATTGTCTCTGTAGAATTACAGTTCTTGACTTGAATCACTTTAAAACTCAGCAGCTCATATTACAATCATTTGTAGCAATTAGACAAAGATCGTCTTCTTTAGATTTTGAGTTGGATTCCCAACTCTGCCAACCGTGTATTTCCTTTCATATCCTCATTGATTAGAAAGCACCTTAAAAGAATCAACCTAGGTTTGAGATCAGCATTTTATTGCACTAAAGGACAATTTAATCTTGTTTTCTGATGCAGAGAAGTATAATTTTATTTACCTTCCTATCAATATAAGCTTAAGGCTTGAGGTTTTATAAATCTGCTTGATGATCCCTTAATCTCGGGGCTGAGAGGGGGATAAAGTTAAACTATCATTGGAAAAAACAATTAGTTTATTTCTTAAAATATGTTTTCTTTTAATCTTCTGTTTCAAAAACCTGAAATATACTGTATTTTAATTTAGTTGTGTTCCAAGAAATAATAGACTATTCAGATGAGAAACAAAGAATGTACGTTGCATTCTCTTAAAATCATGCAGGGGGGTGATAAAAGAAACTGACTGATAAACCATCTAGATTTTCTCATTTTTAAAATGGAGAAAATAATGGTATTTGTCAATGAGAGTTGTTATGAGGATTAAATACACTACTATACAAATGAACAATGCCTGTCACAAAGAGCCCAATAAATGCTATGTATTAGTAATGGTAGTGGAATTAATAAGCAGGTATAATAGTCTTAATATACACAATAGTAGAAATGTTATCATTATTGGCGTTGTTAGTAGATGTAATAGAAATAGTTATTTCAAGATTGCTAAAATATAAGAAAATCATCACCACCACTATAGTAAATTTTAGCTGAATGCATTCAGTCAGTGGCAAATGCCAATCAGTTTTCAAATACCTAATATTTAGCTACAGTAGGTCAACACTGATTGGCTGATTTACTGATTGGTGTGTGGTGTGAAAATTCCCACCAGACACGTGGAGGTAATTGGGTTTCGAGTAAAATAGCTAATCATCTTTTTCTTATTCTTCCTAAGGAAAAACAAAAAGAAATCAAATAGGAGAGACATTAAAAAGTATATTATTATGCAATGACTGGTGTTTTTTTAATGTTTATATTAGATATTTGACTGCTTCAAATTAACAGGCTGGTGACACTATCTCTAGGAAGCTACAAGGTATATAATGTGTTCTTCAGGTAAATGAAAAAAAAAATTTTTTTAAAAGATAAATTATACGTTTATAAAGTAAAAATTAAACATTTCATTTGATTATTTTAATCCATGTCCTTAATTTTCAAGATGTACTGTGTTATTTTATTCATCTCTGAATTTAACATTTCAATTTAAAATTTTGTTTCTCAGAGTTTACTCTATAATAATTATTGAACTCAATTGTCTCAAATCAGCTTATCCATCTTCATAACCTAAATCAGTTGTGCTTTCTGTTATTTTTATTGGTAACAAATTGTCCATAATTTCTTCTGCTTTAATATTATTTTTCTATAGTTTAGTTAGATAGACAAAAAAATCATAATTTTAACTAGAATGCGAATGGTTTTTATTTTCTAAAAATATTCTGAATTTTTATTAAAAATCTCATAAATGAATGGGTACTATCTGCATAATTATAAAAAATATACACACTATATATTAGTTTTGTGATAGATATAAAAACCTCCTACTTTACTGGTTTACTGGATAGTTGAAATATTTGACTATCATAAAATAAAGAATATTCTTTATTATATGTGTCATGAAATGTAATTTTCTTAATTAACTGCCTTTCATCCTTTAAAATAATACAAATGTATTGCATTTTAGGCTGGTATAAATATGTGCATAACACTATATGTATAGCAAAATACCAGTCAAGTATTTTTCTACTAGTCTTAATTGCATTAATTATGCTTTTTCCCGATAAAATAGTGAATGAAGCAGGCATTATAGTTACTGGAGGACTTACAGAAATTTGCTCAGAAAGTTCTAATTCACAAGCAAACACAAAAAACAAAACAGAAAATCATCATCTGAGACTATATTATTATTTTATAAAAATATTTTCTAGTAATGCCATACAAATGTATTATTTCAACCATGCGACCTGCTTTTGTCCCAGAACTAGAGTCTTGGGAAGAACAGCCCCTGCTTTGGCCCCACTGGGGTTAGATGACAAACTCTTGACCCTTACCCTTGAATGTGCTCAGTTGTCAGTTTTGCCTACCACAGCTGTTGGCTATTCCAGAGGATCAGATGGCTAGAATAGGTCTGGAATAGACCTATTAGCATCTCAATACAACTGCTCAGTCCTCTTTATTACCAATTCACTCAAATTAATTAATTTTTAATTTTGCACTACCTCAACTATTATCAATCAAGTCAGCCAGTGAGACAGGAAAGCATACTGAAACATGAAACTCTCTGTGATGTAAGTCAGAAAGGCTCAACCTATGCAATCTGTCACTTTGAAGATTAGAAAAAGGGCAAATTATCTTGTGCAGAGATTACTGAAAAATATTTTTTTGAGAAATTATGTTCTTTTCAAAAGGTCATAAAAGAGAAGAATAGTGGTGATAAATGTCTGTGATGTGTTTATATCTGTAATCCTGAGTTACAAGTTCAGAAAGCCTAGTTGATTTTTTAAAATGCTACTATGAATTCCCATTTACTTCATTCAAAACTTAATATTTTATTGTCATGTTAAAATATATACTGCACAAATAGTGGCTTTGGTTTTAAAATTTACAGCACCAGCAGCAAGATATAATATCCCTAAGATGTAAGATTTATTATTATTATTATTATTGTCATTATTATTCTGTTGGCTTGGCTGGGCTATTTCCTTAAATCAGTAGGAATTAGAGGAATTATCCAAATTATACAACTGTTATTTTGAAATGTGGAAAGAAATGAAATCACTGGTGAAATATTCCTGTGTTGCTTTATCCTCATTTTATTTACATGAATTGCTTTCAGCAATAAAACTCATGGTAAGACAGCATTTACTTTGAGCAGTGCAATCTTCTTTGAGTGAGGACTGACTGCTTTTGATATTCCATAGTGCAGTGTATACAGTTAGAGATAGATCATATGGGCTTTCTTTTTGACTTTGAGCTACAAAGCCTAGAAGGACCAAAGATTAAAGATGTTTAATCACTCTCGCATACTGTGTGACTTCTTACGTCATATTCTTGAGCATGGGAATGTGGCCAAATTTAAGATGTATTTATACCATGCTGAGTATGACTTTTTTAACCTAATATAAACCTAGCTGTTTGAGACAGAATACAATAGGTTTCTGTTTCTGAGATTAATAAAGGGTAGATTCATGGATACCAAATAACTCTTAGAAAGCTTTCTTTCCCCCTAAAATATAATCAAGTCCACAGTATAGTTTATTATAAACACTATGAGTAGTTTAATTTTAAATATTTGCTATTGTTTTACAAGTATTTGGCATTTAAAGTTATGGAAATGAAGTAAGTGATTTGTTAAGGTTAACAACACTCTAAAGAAAATAAGATCAATTCCATATTTTAGGCCACTATTTAACATATTTTCCTGGGCAACAGTGTTTCCCGAAACCTACATTGGTTACAGGTAAATCGTCATAAATGACAATTATCCACATTTTAAAAACAGTAAAATGAAATACTTTCCTAAAGTAAGAGATGTTAAACTCAAGAATTGAGTTTAGAACTGTGGTTAAAGAAGAATAGTTTCTTCATGCTGGAACTGACTTAACTGTGGTTCTAACAGCAGAGGCATAAAATACAATATTGAAATCTTTAGAAAAAAATTCAATTATCAGATTCAAAATTGGGCTCACATACCTCTATGAGATTTCAAGCTACTAGCAAAATAAAATTTTTTAAGTCTCCAAATTCTCTATTGTTACTTGATGAGATGATTATATAATATTTTTGTGTTGGTTTTTGGCAGAGCATGTTGAACCAACTACCAAAGTGAATAGAAATTATTTTCACATATCCATCTGGCTACCCCATACTGCGTAATTACCTCCCCTTAAAAATATACTTTTCTTAATGTTTGAGAAAATAATCAACATACTGGTGAATAGTGAATACCCGTTATTTAAAGATTGTCCTGCATGTTATCATTGCTGTTCTCTAAAATGTCCCAGCAAGAAAAATTCTGCCTTGGAATTCGACATTAATATACTGAGAGCCAATTGATCTTTTCTCTTCATGTAGGGTTTTAAGTGTAAAAGTCATATCCTCTTTTTTTTTTTTTTTCCTGAGACATGGTCTCACTCTGTAGCCCAGGCTGGAGTGCAGTGGTGCAATCATAGCTAACTTCATCCTGAAACTTCTGAGCTCTAGCAATCCTCCCACCTCAGTCTTGCAAGTAGCTAGGGCTACAGGAATTTACCACCATGCCCAGCTAATTTTTTTTAAATTTTGTTTTATTTTTTGTAGAGAAAGGATCTTGCTTTGTTGCCCAGGCTGCCCTTGAATTCCTGGCTTCAAGCAATCCTCCTGCCTTGGCCTCCAAAAGAGCTGGAATTATAGGTGTGAGCCATGGCACCCAGCCCATTCCTCATCTAACATAACATTACAAACTGAAAAATTGGCCACGACTTAACAAAACAGATAAAAGTTATTCTTGGATATCAACAGTACACATCCACCACCAACTAACTTTTTATACAAGTCAGTTGAAATCATAGGGCAGAAACTCTTAGGAAAAAATGAAAAG
Source organism: Homo sapiens (assembly GCF_000001405.40). Classification (NCBI taxonomy): domain Eukaryota; kingdom Metazoa; phylum Chordata; class Mammalia; order Primates; family Hominidae; genus Homo; species Homo sapiens. Next base: position 89,237,518 of record NC_000003.12, on the reverse strand, counting down.
TCAACAAAAAGTAACATTTTGTGACAATTATGGATATCTCTATTTCTATTGAAACTAAATTCACAGAACTACATTAATCATAATCCTTGGTTTGTGAAATTGGCTCATGTATGGCCGTTATTTATATATTTATGTTTTGTTTTGTTTTGAGTCAGAATCTCGCTTTGTCACCCAGGCTGAGGTGCAGTGGCACCATCTCGGCTCATTGCAGCCTCTGCCTCTTGGTTCGAGCGATTCTCATGCCTCAGCCTCCTGAGCACCTGGGATTACAGGCACGCACCATCACACCAGGTTGATTTTTGTGTATTTTTAGTAGAGACAGGGTTTTGCCCTGTTGGCCTGTTGGCCAGGCTGGTCTTGAACTCGTGGCCTCAAGTGATCCAACCGCCTTGGCCTCCCAAAGTGCTGGGATTACAGGCATGAGTCACCATGTCTGGCTTATATTTATGTATTTGTTTACATATTTGTTCAATTATCAATCCATGCATTCATTTATCCATTCGATCCATGCATTGATTCATTGATTCATAATTACATTCATTCAGTACTGCAATAAGTATCTGTAAATCTATCATGCAGAATGTACACTTGATAACAACTACATGCATCTAATCATATTGTCTTCCTCACTTCATCCCTGTCTCCCTACACACTGGGCTATTGATATTCTAAGTCACGTTTACATGGTAATTTTGCTTTTAGATATAAAAAAATGTAGCTTTCTTTAATTTTATTTAAAAAAATTACTATTATAGATGTGAATTTAAGGACTTACTCTTTTTTTTCAATTATACTTTAAGTTTTAGGGTACATGTGCACAATGCGCAGGTTAGTTACATATGTATACATGTGCCATGCTGGTGCGCTGCACCCACTAACTCGTCCTCTAGCATTAGGTATATCTCCCAATGCTATCCCTCCCCCCTCCCCCCACCCCACAACAGTCCCCAGAGTGTGATGTTCCCCTTCCTGTGTCCATGTGTTCTCATAAGGACTTACTCTTTACTTAATACTATATTGCTAAATTTCGTACACAGTTTTAATGTCATTTGTTATTAATCTTGATTGTTTTACTTAATACTATATTGCTAAATTTCGTACACAGTTTTAATGTCATTTGTTATTAATCTTGATTGTAGTGTAGTAATTCATTGTATTAACATACCACCTTTTATTCATTTACTCTCTTTTTAATAATATTTGTATTATTTTGAGATCTTATATAGTTTTAATAGTGCTTTATGAAAATATACCTTGCTAAACATATGCAAGGGTTTTTTGGGGGGTATATATTTAGGAGAAGAAAGGCTTAGTTTACTCAAGATGATAATGTCAAACAGATTCCTAAAGTAGTTAAAACATTTATATTCCTACAATTTATATTAAATTTAGATGGAAGATGTAAAAATCACATCTTCTTCAATCCTTGAAATATCTAAAATAAACAAATGTATATATTCACAATGAAACAGTTTAAAATTGTAATTCATTGCTTTCTTGACTTGACTGGTATGTCACTGACCACTAATGATATGGAACATTTCTTCCCATGTTTATTGAATATATATGTTTGCTTTGTGGGGGGAATTCTACTTTATAACTTTTACTCCACTTTTTATTATTTATTTATTAATACATAGAAATTCTTTATATATTTTCAATTATATGTGTGAGAATAATTTCTCTCAGTTTGTAACTTTTTTTACTTTCTTAAAATGTATAAAATATGTAAACTGATTTTTTATTTTAATATAAATAAAAATTGTGGTGTTAAGAATTCAGCAAGTTTCCTAAAAGAGAAATGATAAAACATATGAAAAAATAGGGTAGTTTTAATAGGTTTATAGATACACCATGTTCATGAAAAATTATGGTATATTGAAAATATACTCTTTTTTTTCTAAATTTATCTACACATTGTAGAATTCTAAGAAAAATCTCAATACAGATTTTCATGGCATTTAATAACATCACTCTTACATGCATATGAAGAAATGAAAGGCAAGAATTATCTATAATATTAAAGTCAGGAATGAGAGTTTTTCTGTTTCAGATATCAAGATTTATTACGACGCTATACTAAGAAAGTAAAGAATTGGCACATGGGTTGATATATTTATGTAAAATATATCTGATCTTAGGCTCACATCTCTAGATTGTTATTAGAAATCATTTTGTTTCATCTATTTGAATGTCGAAACAGTATTAAAGAAAAGAATGCACTTTTAATGAAAATTTTTAAAATCTACAAATCTATCAGTGAGTGTCAGGATTACATTTATTGTCAAGAAAATCCAGGCTGGGCAGGGTGGCTCACACCTGTAATCCCAGCACTTTGGGACGTCGAGGTGGGTGGATCACCTGAGGTCAGGAGTTCGAGACCAGACTGGCCAACATGGAGAAACCCCATCTCTACTAAAACTACAAATATTGAGACAAAAAAGAGAAATAAAGAAAGAAAGAAAGAGGGAGAGAGGGAGGGAGGGAGGGAGGGAAGGGGAGGGAAAAGAAAAGAAAAGAGAAAAAAGAAAGGAGGAGGGAAGGAAGGAAGGAGGAAGGGAAAGAGGGAGGGAGAGAGGGAGGAAGGAAGGGAGGGAAGGAAGGCAGGAAGGAAGAGAAGGAAAGAAGGGAGGAAGGCAGGAAGGAAGAGAAGGAAAGAAGGGAGGAAGGAAGGAAGGAAAGAAAGGAAAGGAAAGGAAGGAAAGAAAGGAGGAGGGAAGGAAGGAAGGAGGGAGGGAGGGAGAGAGGGAGGAAGGAAGGGAGGGAAGGGAAGGAAAGAAGGAAGGAAGGAAAGAAAAGGGAAGGGAAGGGGGAAAGAAGGAAGGAAAGGAGGAAAGGAGGAAAGGAAGAAAGGAAGAAATAAATCCCCTCCAAACACTGTAGCATGATGGAAAGCCTCATAATCTCCTAACTCAAGTACACTACTGAAATTCACCTCTAGATGTAATTGATATTCCCCATTACTAAGGAAGACACCAGCACATTTGATTGGTCCATGTGGATTTCAAATTTTAACCCATCAAAATTACCCAGTTACAAAATTGGCCAAAATAAACAGTGAAATATAAATAAAAAACATTCACATAGATTAATTGTGGTACATGACTGTGTAGTTCAAATAATTAGTTTTCCAAACAGTTTTGCAGAGCTTTATGAGATTTTATTGATTAAAATACATGAAAACAGCTGTCACATGGAAAATGAGTAACACCAGAATGTTTGGTTCCAGTAAACAGTAAGTTCTCCTTTCTGTTGATATTATGATTTTGTAGAATTACTTCAATAATGCAATTTCTATTCTATTTTATATTCTTGTTTATATATTTCATCCTTACTGCTCTGTATAATTAAATTGATCTTTTATTTACAATCACTTCAAAGTGGCATTTTTCTCTTTCATGGCATAATTTGTTAAATTCCTACTCTATGTTATTTGCCTTTTGTTTACAAGAAGTGAAACTCTAAAAGGTGTAACTATGAAGACTTACCACTCAGATTTGTGCTGTTTTTCTTCAATCATTCTACTTTCACACTAAACCCACTTTAACTGCAAGCCCAAAATGGTCATACTTCCTGCCTTCACAAAGGATAAGAGAATAGAAAAATCTCAGTCACTTAACTATGACACTAGTAATTTGGTTTATAAGCACCTGATACAGATGCTTGGAAAATAGCAAATCATCATTATATAGACCTACAAAAGTATCACATACCACAGAGCTTTTCCATAAGAATATATGTGTAAAACATACACTCCAGCTGACAAACTCCAAAATGCATCCATTTATCTCAGTTATGCCTTCCACCGTTTCCCTTAAAGAGGGCTAGTACTATACTCCAGCCTTTGGTTAGAAATTGTGCAAGACCTATAGCCAACACCAATTGAGGAACCGATATAATTTTCACTCTCCCCTTGCAGTCTTCAAACCAACAGCAATTCAGTACATGAGAAAAAACAACAGCCGGTGCAAAGTTCTTAGGGTCTGGCTCAGCAGGGGAGGTAGAAGCAAAAAGTCATGTCAACAACAATAACAATGAAAACATTTTTAAAAGCTTTGATGAATAGCCTCAGTACCAAAGGCAAGCCCCGCTGCTCATGCCTTAACAACTGGACAAAAAGAGCAACCTCATTTACGCACACTAGTTCAATGCCAAAGGCAGAAAAGTGGGGGGACAATGTAGGTCTTGGGGGAAGCATTGCAGTTCATGGCATTATTATTGCATCTATTCCACACTAAAAAATAGTTACCCATGAACAAGGCTTTCCACTTTTTCTTTTTAATATTTCTTTGATTTTCTAAATAATTCATCTTCAGACATAGGCTAAAATATATATGTGCGTGTATATATATATATTTCAAATACTCTGGACAAAAAGCTATTCTCCTAAATTCTAACCTTTTTGTTATCTGAGATGTCTCTGTACCTTGTAACGTAAGTATTTAGACATGAGATCTCTGTGGTCTTGCATACTGAAATAAAATTACCATATTTTAGTAAAGCCTCAACTTGACTATTTTTGGATATAAAGTAGGAGTTCATTTTCTGACACCATGAAAAGGAAACTGCTTATTCATGAATTCAGGTACAGGGAGAAAAGAGAGCTAACAGCTACGGTTCAATAAAATTGAAAGTTCATTGCCTGTTATCTTTCTAATTTTGGTACAAGAAATGACCTCAATGAATGATAGGCAAATAGCTAAGTCTCTTCTAGCTTAGAGTATAGGAATACAAAGTTTAGGATTAATTATAGAGCACTTCAATTTCTTCTTGGCTATTTGAATATTACCAAGTTTGAGAGGCCATTTTGTATAACACATTGTAAAATTAATTGCCTTTCATTATTTAATCTGGCATAAAATTAAGAAGTGGCATTTTTGCCTAAATTGAATTGTTACAAACTTCACCTTGCCCCACTAGTATTTAAATTTCCCCATTAACCTAAAATAGAAAGATATCTCCAAAAGAAGGTATGGTTATATTGTTTTACATGGAACCTATGTATAGCAAGCATGCTATTCTCCTAAAAATTATTTGAAGACTCTGACACCTTTCTGTTTCCAACATAATTGGTTTGTCAAGGCCTTTCACCAGTCTGTCCTTTCCCACCCAGTTTGTTCCACCTGACAAGACACACCTTAAGACCTGCTGCTCCCGCCTCCGCCAGCCTGGCCTCCAGATCCTCCCAGCAATAAAGCTTCCTCTAATCTATCAGCCTGGCCAGAAATGAGTCTTCCTTGCCCAACCACCAATTTTTTTGCTCTTCATTCTTTAAATATATACATGTGAATTAAAATTCCTTAAGGAATTTTTTATAAGCAAATGGAAATATGTGTTATTTTAGTCTCTCAAGCCTTACTAAACTGTGGTCCCATTGGGGCTCAGAACACGACACCCCAAAATATAACATCTTGGCACAAGCAGAAAGGGCACCTTCTGACCTTCTCCTGTCTTTCTCCTGTGAGTTACATAAAGAATCTCTCCTCCCTTCTGCCCTTCAGATCTTCGTGTGACAGGTGTCCTGCCCTGCACTTGGAGGAAAGAAGGAAGACGAAAAAGAACTGTCCATTAACAGCCTTGTTAAGTAAACCATTATTATTAGATCATAACCTTTCTAATCCCATTTCTACATGACTGTCCATTCTTCATCAAACTGAAGCATACAAATATACACTTTTCCCTGGATCTTTGGGTCATCATTTCTGAAGACTCCCATGTCACATAAAACTTTGTTTAAATAGATGTATTATTTCCTCTTGTTAATCTGTTTTTGCTACAGCATGTCAGCCATAAACTTTATAATGGGTGGGGAAAGGATATTATTTTTTCCCTTCTAAAGTTCATATCACCTGAGAGCTTGTTAGAAAGGCAGAATCTCAGGCCCTGCCCCAAACCTAAGGACTGCACTTCTAACGGGATCACCAGGTTATCCATCTGCATGATGTTTGAAAAGCACTATTCTATATTGTCCAAAACGCAAACAAACATACACACACAAGAGCAGTGACAACACAATTAGGAGCTAGATGAGGGAAGGAAGCAAGAAGGAAAAAGGCAAATAGCAAACAAATTGCTTTCTCTCTAAATTAGGTATTTAATAGAAAATAGTGGTTTTACCTAAAATCTAGGTTGTTTTCATTTAGGTACATACATATTTAGATACATACATATTTAGATGTGTATTCAAACAATATAGAAAGCACTAGATAATATAACAACATGCCTAAAATGTGATCATTAATTGAGTTTGGTCTAATAGGGTCATTAATGTTTTGTATAATAAATAACTTACTAATGTCATATATTAAGAGAAATGGCAGGTAAATAGTTTCTCCAATTAAATGACAGAAAATTAATTGTGTCAATAAACTTATCCTATTCATTTCATTGCAAATTATTAAAAGAATTAATTACTGTCTATTCCCCCATTACATAAATTCAATTATTTTAAAATTTGATGGGTAATGTATAACAAATGAGTTTTGTGTGTGATTAATATATTGCTTTTATTCAGAATAAACATAATATTATTAAAAAATATTACAGATTCATAGATACTTAGCCATGGAGAAAGCCAATGATGGGCACGACCATGCCTGTACATCAAAACAAAGCCCATAGTCTGAAATAAAGCTCTTCTGGGGAGCAGATAAAAGCAAAGGTGTGTGTGTGTGTGTGTGTGTGTGTGTGTGTGAGAGAGAGAGAGAGAGAGGGAGAGAGAGAGAGAGAGAAATATGTATATTGGGAAGTGGAACCATACCAGTGGATCTAGATGTACTATAAAATCTGAAGGAAGATAAAGCGAAGTAAAGTAATAACTGATTGATTTTATAAAAATAGCACCTTGATCAAAATTCTTTCCCTGATACTGCCCGAAACACAAACAACTAAACAACAACATCTAAAAATATTGTTTTTATTTAGTATAATCATAATACTATAGAAAGAAGAATTTGGATAGATGATCAAAACCATGTTACCATAGTGTTCATCCATAAGTTTTATAGTAGCTTCATACTACTTTTCTCCTTCACTCTACTTAAAAACATTCCACAGCTCACTCCACATACAATGTCTGAAGAGCATTTAAAATCTTTGGCCTGAACCATGTACTTCCAACATAACTTTGCACTCTTGCATTCCAATACATTCCAACAAAAATTCATAATTTAGGCAACGTGAAATTTTCTGTGGTTTGGTGGTGATGGAGATGATACACCTAGGCAAAAACTCCTCCTATCTAGAGGCCATTTTCACCCAGAAAAATTTTACCTTAAGTATTACCCACTTCTTGAAACCTTTCTATTCTCCATAGTCCCTTCCTTCTAGTTGGGATCTGCTACAAAGAGCTGGAATGACCTTGGTGAGTTTACTTAATTGCTCTGGGTCTTCCTCTCTTCACTGGTAATATAAAGTGATGAGCCTAGATCTGTAAATTTCTAACTTTTATTACTCATATACACTCTAAAATAATTTTTAAAGCTCATACATACTGACTTATATATTTCAAGGTGGTATGTAAAATGTTTCCTCGAGTGTAAACAATTGAAAATTATGCCATTTCTAACATATTCTAAAATTGACATTTTAAAATAAAACAGTTACACTATTCCTAAATGCACCCAATGGAATCTAAATACTCCAAGGCTTTGTAACTCAATGTCATCCATGTAAAAATAAACGATCAAGTTCTTCTTTAATAGTCAGAACTTTTATGTTGTTTGCTTTCTGTCCCTTGGGTTCATATTTCCAATTAACTCGCCATTTAAAATATTATGCTAAGGATTTATATTTTTTATGTTTGAACATCTCATATTGATGAATCTATCATATATTGCAGTAATCAAATATTGAAATTGAACTTAATAGTTTATTTATTTAAATTTTGATGCTTTAAGCCTGCAAATTGTCTTCCTAAATTTTCTTATTATAATTATTTTTAGTAAATAACTCATGAAACCTAATTAAATATATATATTTTTAAACTATTTTAATTAAAATAAAATTTTTATTAGAAATTGATGTCATACTGAGATGAGCTAGGCTTTTTTCCCATTTAAGATAGATATAACTTATTTTTATGCACTGAAAATCAATTCATTTTCTAGTTTTCATTGTTATAAATGCAAGCACCAGAAAATCTTATTTACATAAATAATTAGGCAGGAATAAAAATAGTTTTTCTATAGTAGTGGAAGTTCTTCAAACTTGAGTTATATGCTAAATTACAGAGTAATTTATCACTAAAGTGATTTTTACTTCTTTATTCACTGACAATTTTAGTAAGTCTTTCTTCAATTTGAATCAGAGCCAAGAACTGATACCACTTGACCTGAAATGTAATTTGATTCACATTCATTCACACTCTTAACACATTTTAAAATTTCCTTTTGTTTAGCACTTACATCCTACGAACAAAGCATCTTAGCAAGATTTCAGAAAAATGAGAAGAATGCTTTTCTGTAGAAAATAGGGAAAGAGAAATAGTGAAAAGGGAAGTGAGGAAGGAGAACTAGCTTAAGAGCTTCGGCTTAAACATAGTCAAATTCTCACACATGTTAACTTCACTACATATGAAAGTTGAGGATATAAACATTAATTTCCATTAAACCACAAAAGCTCATGTACTGCCTTGGGAAGTCTCTGTGAATCTTTAGTTTATATGTACTTCAGCCTGAAAACTGCTGCTCTCTGGGCTTCAGAAAACTTTTAAAAAAATGTTTACGTTCCTGGTTATCAATATCAAGTGTATGTTTCCATTCATACGTCCTTACATACTTCTCTGGTATGTTTATGGGTTACTCATCCACTAGATTTAACATATCTAGAGAACACGGCACATTTTTCATAGGTGTTACATCTTACACAGTATTTTGTATAATGCCTTAATGGTTAATCAGTATGTATATATAAAATTAATAATTCCTAAAATCGTGACTGCATATAGCATTTATCTTTCCAAATTTATACCATATGATAGTGTATATAATTATTCTACACACAAAATTTTTATGTAAATCAATATGACATTGTCATTATGCTTCTCCATATTCATTCCCTAACACGTTGAATGACAAGAGCACTATGCATAATGAAGTTGTAGATAGACTATATTTATCAGCCCTGTATGTGAATACCAGGAAATTAATCCTTTATAACTGTGCTGGCAGGCTTTCTCATTGTTATTTTGTCCAATTTTTTCAAAGGAACACTATATCATCTTCAATATTCAGTTTTCTTTTCTGCTTTTGTAGAACACTTAAATACACATTGCCAATTATACACACTCTGTCCGTGACTATCAACCCATGGATGAAACAGTTTTCAGCAGAAACTATTTTTCTTATTGTTTAACAGTGAATCTGAGTAGGCATTTTATCTGGGGAGCATGTGTCTACCAGAGTAGTCGTTTCTAACTAAGGATACCAAAGTCAAAGTTACAGCAGATCTACTCTGCAATGTTATCACACATGCCAAACATAATATTGAACTACCAACTAAACGACTGTGTTATGCACAATACACTTTAATTAACCTTGTAAATTCTCTGTACATAGAGCCCTAACATGCATGTACCTTGGTGAAAGGAACTACAATGCTGAAAGTAAGTGTGAAATTTGCCAAACCAATTTTTGGAAGCTTAAGTCATTTGACCTTTCCAATTTAAACAACCTAATATAAGAGTGAGTCATTCTTGGACATGGAACGTTACAAATAAACTGCCCAAAATAACAGCCATCATGTTCTAGGATATCCTTACTCTGAATTATTATAGTGAATTTACCTGAAGTATTTAAATTAATAAAAATAATAATACTCAGCCTTCTGAAATCACAGGTGAAGCTATGAATCAATCACCCTCCAGTACCTAACTATGCACAAATAGAAGACTCACTAGTTGTTCCTGGATATGTACAAGGTAATTGAGAAATTTTGCCCCACATTCCAGGATTTACATTTATACCATGACTTATACATGTTTTCCATAATGTGTTAAACACCGACTTAAATATTCAGTCTCTCGTAACGTACAAGTTCTTTACTTCGATTTAATATTTACTCAAGAAATACACAGGAAATGCATGATTCATCCATGAGGGATTAGAGACCTGCAAGTGATCCCTTGGGCTTAGATCCTCAATATCTAAACAGGACTACATCCCACGTCTGAAGTCAATTTTCAGAACCTCCAAGAGAGTAGCTGTTATTTGTTTCTCAAAGAAATTTTGAAATAATTCACTTAAAAATGATTAAACATTTTGTAGCCATAATATGTTTCCCAATGTGAGAACTTTGGTCTATTTGCAGAAAAAGAGGAAAAAATAAAAAGTAAATGTAGAAATGATATGTTTAACATATAAAAATATGAATACACATGCCATTCAGGACAGTTACTGATTATATACCTGACTGAACGTTTGCATATAATATTGATGGACACCTGAGTAACAAGTCTTCACTGGTTTTTCTCTTTTGACTATGTTTAACCAAATTTATTGTGTAAGGTGTATGTGCTCTCTGTCTGCCTCAAAATGTCTTCTGATTTCCTACCTATTCATAGACACATCACCATCTATATCCCTGCACCTCCACTTTATACTCAACAATCTTATGCAATGGAATGTATATGAAGGATTTTAGTGTGATTAAGTCTCAGTAATCATGCCTAAGCTTCAAACGTCATGACATTTGCAAAGTAGCTAATTATCTGGTGCTGAATAAGGACTGGTTTTCTACATGATAAAAAAAATACTGTCACAGCAAGGTAATTCAGAATTTATAAGGAATTCAGAATGGTATGACATGCCTTGTTTTAAAAGAAACAATCCTGAACCATGTTAGACAGACCATCAGAACCAATTACTGAACCAAGTAAAGTTATTTAATTCTGAAAACCTATCCAATCATGGATCAGTTGAAGTTCTAAATATAATTAAAAATTGAAGAGCTCTTAAATTAGAGTGCAGAAATACTGTATGTTATGACAAATTGTACACTGTTTAGTGAAATTTTATTTTGTTTATTTTGGTATTTTACTTGATGTATAATAAACCTTCAGTTGTCTGGATTCCTGGAACGTTTAGGAAAAAGACTTTCTAGATAGCTAACGTTTCCCCATAGTAAGGATTTATCCCTCTTATGATAAACCTAACACTTATAAAGTACTTGTTAGGTGCCAGGACCTGTGTTGAACATTTTAAAAACATGATGTCACTTTATCCTCTCAATGACACTACTAAGGAGATGCTATTGTTATCTCTTGTTAGCTCCAATTTATATGTGAGGAAACTGGGACCCAGAATGGTTACATAGTTTGTCCACAGTCCCATAGCAAATAAGGGATAGAGCCAAGCTAAACCCTGAGGACCTCTGATTTATATACCATTTATACTGATTAAAGCAATGATGTTTCTAATCTTTGTTTTCCATGGAGGAAATATAAAATATATTATATAACAATTTGATTCTTTACCAGAGTGGAGTGAATATAATTTAAACATTTATTGATGTCTCAAGGCCACAACTACGAATATTTTTATTTGCTTTATGTACTTTGCAGTCCTGTGAACACTCAGAGTTTACTGAGGCATAGAAGACTGTGGTCCCACAGTGGCCCCAGGCAAATGTAACTTGAACACGTGTGTATGTTATCATAGCCCCTTGGGTTCTTTTCCTATTCTCAGGCTGCCAATTGTGATGTTTACTATACTCATTCTATGTACTTCTTTACCCCTTTCAACTTTCAGATTTTCATCTCCTATGAGCTTTGAAACCAAATTACTCAGCATATTAAAACTATGTACCTAAAATAGGGTAGGCTCTGACTGCAGCCTCAGTGTTCCTGAAAGTGTAAAGAACTTCACTATGAACTTATGGCATACCTAGGGGATGTATTTGTAAGCCTGTGTTCCTCACTTAGCAATTTTACCAAAGACGTTTTCTGTAAAATTATTTGGGGAAAAAATGCAACTTTCTTTGAAAATACATTAGGCTACTATGACCAAACTTTATAAACTGGCACCATCTTAGAGAACACAATAGCTATTAAGCTAAGAGAAATGTAGCAATATGCAACAGGCTGAGATGTATAACATGGTACAGTTGGTTGAAAATGTAAAGGTTCCACAAGGTTTACTTTCGTATCTAGTGTAATTTTAGAAAATTGTTTCGAACACACCAAAATCTTTTGGAGTAAGTAAAGAGTATTTTCCGAGGATTCATAGAATATTTTCACTGACTTTTCCAGTCATAGAATCCACTGGATTATAAAGGCATTTTTTTTCTGATCATTACAGGCATCGAAGCAGTAGCACATAATCATAGCCATGACTGACCAGTGAATAAATAATAGCAAATAAAATGTGATTACAAATTACTACCTTCACGTCTTTAGATCTTAACATAGCTATTCCAAGATGGATAATTTCACTTGTAAATAACTTGATAATTTCCAAATAACTTTCACATTTTTACATCCTTAAAGTAATCCATTTCTTTTTAACTGAATTTGATTGCTAAATTTTTATTTAAACTGGAAAGCTAATCTCACTAATCACAGCCACTCTTTAACCTTTCCCGTCTATATTTTTCAGCATCAAAGAGTATTTAGAAAGTGTATGCTTTTTATTTTTTTATTATTATTTATTATCATTATTATTATTATTATTTTGAGACAGAGTCTTGCTCTGTTGACCAGGCTGGAGTGCAGCGACATGATCTTGTCTCACTGCAACCTCCGCCTCCAGGATTCAAGCAATTTTCCTGCCTCAGCCTCCCGAGTAGCTGGGATTACAGATGCATGACACCACTCCCAGCTAATTTTTGTATTTTTAGTAGAGATAGTGTTTCACCATGATTGCCAGGCTAGTCCCGAACTCCTGACCTCAAGTGATGTGCCTGCCTTGGCCTCCCAAAGTGCTGAGATTACAGGTATGAGCCACCGTGTCTGACCAAAAAGTGTATGCTTTATAAGAGTATCTCTACCTTTAATAGAAATTAATGGCTGTTTCTAACCATCTTCCTTCTTCAGAAATAAAAACAGTTACCTTCTTATTACTTTCTTTTGTAACTTTCTAAAAATAAAATGAAGGTGAAAAAAGGTAAACTGATACAAGGCAAATTTGGTGTTACCTAATACAGCAGAATTTCTTTTATCATTTTATTGTAAATTAACTATCCCAACTCATTTGCCCTGGCAACCTCAATATTTAAAGATTTAGTCAACCGCATGATCACTCAGCCAAATATTTGGATTATGTCTCTATTTTATGAAGCTTAATTTTGAATAAATTTCATGGTAAATTATTTGTGTAGATAGGAGAGATGCTATAAATCTCTGAAATAAACTACAAATGAGAGTGTAACAAATGTCCAGGTTTACATCTCCCATGTGTGCCTATGTTCAAGAAAGTTATCCACCTTTTCTTATTGCTTCACATTTTTTGTTAGATATTGTTATAGTACATTTATTAATAAAGAAGCAAAAATATTGATCGATAAAATAATCATCATTATTCACACAAAAGCTGTGTTCAGATTTTGAACCAGGCATTGAAAGAATTTAAAAAGAAGTGGAAAGCACACTGTTAATCTTAGAAAGATTACAAATTATAATGATAACAAAGCTTTATTTTTTAACTTAAAAAATTCGTTACTATATTTTAGAACCATATTTACTAACCATATTTTAGTACTTTATTATACGATTTTCTCTCCACTCTTACTCTTAGATATTATTCTAGATCTACATATGAGGAAGCTAAATTTATTCACACATATAAGGTATTATAATACAATGATACAAACAAAATCCAAATGTATAAAGTCAAGTCACGCCATCATTTTATGCTAAGAAATCTTAATTATTTTGTAGGAATTAAGATGGATACCAAGTCATGTACAACAAACATAATCCCACCAACCCTGCTGGGTAAATCTCAGGTTTATTACTAGTCTAGGAACGTACAGAAACTGTCTACCAATAGAGCTGACGATTCCTCTGCAATCATGACCCTCATCTGGAGTTTACAGCATGAGCCTGGCGACTAGCCAATATGAACAATGTTTAAATTTCTTTATGGCAGCTCAATGAGCCTTCAAGCATTCATCTGTTTTACCTACTGTGCTTAATAAAAAGCAAGCCAATGCATTTTCTCATTTTCTTTTCATCTCTAATAAGAGCAACCATCAACCGTATGAAGGATGGAGTCAGCATTTCCTTTCAGCCTCCCTTTCCTAATAGTTCCGCACTGAAGCACTCATAGAACACCATGATGCCACCCATCATCTTGCAGAGATTTTGATTTACTGGGAATGATCGTAAGAGGAGTTTTTTAAAAAGGAGAAAAAATAGATTTTAAAGCAGCATACATGTTGTCATGAAAGTATAACAAGTATAAACAATGAAAGCCCCTGGTAATTACTTCTGTTCTTGACTATCAGTGTTTTTAAAGAGTTGTATTATGTTAATGAAAGGGTTGCTTTAAATAAGCTTTTAGATTTTGTAAAGGTTAAAAGACTAAGAAATATTTAACAGCAACACAAAAGTTTGTAATCTATAACACCAATAACATTTTCAAAGAAAATTAGTTCCACACATGATCCTTGTATAGAACAACCAGGTCAGATACTTAAGAAGTCTGCAACTTTAAGTCACATTCATTTACTTAATGAAGTGTAAAGCTTCATCAGTATGTGTTACCACTTCAAGTTTTGGAAGTTATACATATTATATTTATTAACGTATTTTGTGTGCTGCCTCATTCTAAAAGCAGTAAAAGAAATGTAGGAATGTGTGCAGCAGTCCAATACCACCAGAAATTGATGTGATATTTTATTACAGCCTTCACCCTTCTCAATTTTTTAGAAACAAAGAATTTAAAGTACACTTATAAGTACACATTTACTAAAAATGTATATGTACTAAGTATATAGTGCTAAGTGCATATATGTGTATGGACATGTATAGACATGCACATATCTATACATCTATACATACATATATTTATATATATTTATATAATACATATATTATTTTGCATTTTATGTCTATATACATATACACACACAAGTATGCATGTACATCTATATATATTTACATGCATGTGTGTGTACATATATGTATATATGTGTGTGTATACATAGGTATATACATATACATATACATATATATATATATATATATATATATATGTATATGTATTTATGAGCTTTTTAAAAACCCAATGTCTGTAACAGAAATGCTAGCCAGGTCCAAAATTCATTCCCAATCTGCCACTTGGAGATCTGTCAAGCTAATAATGAAGCATATTGTGCAAGCATACACATTGGGCACATAGCAAGTGTCTTTCTGAGCCCTGGTTCTCCACTAGCCATCATCTCCTATCAATCATGTCCTCAGCAACAGCAGGAGCAATGGAAACAGAAGCAGAAGCAATTAGAGGTGTGGCTCAGTTCCACATGCCTAGAAAATAAAGGCCAGAGATGCCCTGTGAAAAGATTTGCGTGTTAGAGGCTTACCTAATCCTATGTTAAAGAAAGAGATGTTATGCTAATTAATATGAGGTTTTTGCCTTTTTATACCACCATTGCCAATCTTTTTTTTCTCAACTCTTATAACCAATTTCTCCAACCATCCCCTTGGCAGCAGGAACTTGCAAATTTTCTCATTATGGTGACTTGCAGAAGCATTTCAGATGAAAATTATTGACATATTATATTATGAAAAGCATCAGGTTTCAGAGTCAGCCAGACCTGAATTTACATTCTGGCATTGTGACACTGGTCAAATTAGTAAATTTTCTTAGACCTGTTCTGATAAAATAACGATAATAAGATTTACCTCGTAAGGCTTTGGTGAGGATCAAATGGTATATTCCTCACTGGGTACATAGTAGGCAATCAATAAATAGTAATTTAAATGTATGTATGGCTTTTCGTATTTGAGAAAGCATTCCCACAATTCAAGATGGAATAGATTACAATAAAATACATTTTAGAAGGTGAAGAGTAGACCAAAAAGGGTACATAAAGAGAATAAATAAAACAGTGAGTTTACTATTTAGAAGGCATGTTAAGAGAGCGTATCTATGTATGTTTTTCAGATACAGGAAGACACGTAATTTTCTGCTCTTCTATAGGGAATGCAAACAAGATACGATGACCATTACGTGAATCAATATCCAAAAAGCAAAAACAAGTGAATAGCTTAAGGAACACAATCACTCCCACCCTTGGAGTCAGAAGTAAATGTCCGTGATTGGTCCCAGAGAGAGGACACAATGAAAAGTATTGAATAACATCCTGAGAAGCATCCTTACAGTAAACATACTCTGCGCTTCAGGGACTATTTCTGGTAAAGCAGGCTGATGAGCTTCAGGTACCTCAGCCTCTCTCTGCCAGGAAGCATAGGAAACAGTGGTCCCACACAAGCGATCTGTTCCACTTTCAAATTCCAGTTTTACCATTCAAATTCCAGTTGAACCACTTACTAATTGTGACCTTGGACAATTGCCTGATTTTTCTAAGCCTCCAGTTTTCTATCACGCAAAATGGAGACATGATTCCACCAAGCTCATATGTTGTTGAGAGGATTAAATGAAGTGCCAAGCTCAGTCACATGCTAAAGGAAAGAAATGGCTATTTTTAAAAGAAACAGCTGATATCGAAGAGCCACTCTAATTGTCAAAGGACCAGTACTAAAACTAAAGCATAGAAACTTTTTATACAAAGACTATTAACACAATATGTCCTGGAATAGAACCACATCTACCTGTCATTTTTTGTATTAGTATCACATTACAGAAAAAAGGGAGTCAAATGTTAGATTTGATTTCATGTCAGCACGTCAGAATATCCTCAAAGGAAACTAACTCTGTAACAGCTGTCTGAACTGTTTCCATACGGAAACACCCTCAACCTCCAAATGCTTTATATTTGATATCTCTTTTATTACTCCATTCGCATTCTGAGTTCTTAGACTACGAAACTCTACCCGCTGAACGTCAGTCACCTTAACCAGCTCTTTGCAGGTAACTTTTTGTTTTTCAGTTTTAAAATATCCATCTTCATGTCACTATTCCTGAAATCTTTCTTCTTTCTCCCAGAAAAAAATCCATCTTAGTTTTGTTTTTCTTGCAGAGGTGTCACTTTCCAATAATCTAAGTAGTTAGTAAGACTTTATATGCCTTCAAAAATTCACTAATTTTAAAGAAAATTCCTGAACGAATGTGTCCTGAAGCACAATCACAAGATGTCAAGTACCAATTCGAGCTCTGCTAATGTATAATTCGAACCTTTAGCCTTAATAGACATATCTGTAAAGGACAATGATTAAACTAGACCAGAGTTTCTCAACCCTTCCACTACATATTTATATGTTGGTCTGCATAACTCTTTGCTATAAACATTGCCCTGTGCATTGTAGGATATTTAGCAACATGTGTGGCATCTAAACAGGAGGTGCCAGTAAGCAACCCCTTTCTTCAGCTGTGAGAACCAAAAATATTTTTAAACATTGCCCGGTGGCTCACGCCTGTAATCCCAGCACTTTGGGAGGCCGAGGCGGGCGGATCACGAGGTCAGGAGATCGAGACCATCCCGGCTAAAACGGTGAAACCCCGTCTCTACTAAAAATACAAAAAATTAGCCGGGCGTAGTGGCGGGCGCCTGTAGTCCCAGCTACTTGGGAGGCTGAGGCAGGAGAATGGCGTGAACCCGGGAGGTGGAGCTTGCAGTGAGCCGAGATCCCGCCACTGCACTCCAGCCTGGGCGACAGAGCGAGACTCCGTCTCAAAAAAAAAAAAAAAACAAAAAACAAAAAAAAAAAAAACATTGCCAAATGCCTCTTGGAGGTAACATCACCTGGGCTAGGAACACTGGTGTAGACTCCAGAATTCTATAGGTAATACCCTGGAATGATCTGTATTAACATGTGGTTTCTTAATATTTCCACTCAAATCTAAGTTCCTTGAGGGCAGGAACATTTTTCTGTTTTGTTTAGTGCCACATTTCCAGTTGACATTTGGTATAGCAGACACTCATAAATTGTTGTGGGGGGCAGGGCACGGAGGCTCATGCCTGTAATCCCAGCACTTTGGGAGGCCAAGGCAGGCAGATCACCTGAGGTGGAGAGTTTGAGACCAGCCTGACCAACATGGAGAAACCCCATCTCTACTAAAAACACAAAATTATCTGAGCAGGGTGGCACATGCCTGTAATCCCAGCTACTCAGGAGGCTGAGGCAGGAGAATCACTTGAACCTGGGAGGTGGAGGTTGCGGTGAGCCGAGATCCTGCCACTGCACTTTAACCTGGGCAACAAGAGCAAAACTCCATCTCGAAAAAAAAAAAAATGTTGTTGTGAAAAAATGGGTAAATGATGAAATATTAAACTCCATGGAGATTGAAACCTTAACTCTTTAACTCTTTGATGACACTTTAGAAGCAGATTATGAGTCTCTAAACAACATTTGTCTTTCATGCTTACCAGACCATGTTTTTCCTTATGAATAGGATACTTGCCTCCTTTTAAGATAGATTCAGTTCATATCTCCTTTAGAATCCAAGATGCTTCTAGTTCTAGATCCCTGAGGAATCGCCACACCGACTTCCACAATGGTTGAACTAGTTTACAGTCCCACCAACAGTGTAAAAGTGTTCCTATTTCTCCACATCCTCTCCAGCACCTGTTGTTTCCTGACTTTTTAATGATTGCTATTCTAACTGGTGAGAGATGGTATCTCATTGCAGTTTTGATTTGCATTTCTCTGATGGCCAATGATGATGAGCATTTTTTCATATTTTTTTGGCTGCATAAATGTCTTCTTCTAGAACTAGAAATACCATTTGACCCAGCAATCCCGTTACTGGTTATATACCCAAAGGATTATAAATCATGCTGCTATAAAGACACATGCAAACGTATGTTTATTGTGGCACTATTCACAATAGCAAAGACTTGGAACCAACCCAAATGTCCAACAATGATAGACTGGATTAAGAAAATGTGGCACATATACACCATGGAATACTATGCAGCCATAAAAAATGGTGAGTTCAGGTCCTTTGTAAGGACATGGATGAAGCTGGAAACCATCATTCTCAGCAAACTATCGCAAGGACAAGAAAACCAAACATGTTCTCACTCATAGGTGGGAATTGAACAACGAGAACACATGGACACAGGAAGGGGAACATCACACACCAGGGACTGTTGTGGGGTGGGGGGAGGGGGGAGGGATAGCATTAGGAGATATACCTAATGCCAAATGAGGAGATAATGGGTGCAGCACACCAACATGGCACATGTGTACATATGTAACAAACCTGCACGTTGTGCACATGTACCCTAAAACTTAAAGCATAATAATAATAATAATAATAATAAAATCCAAGATGCTTTACAGCCAGAACTATATCCTCCTTCCCCCCAATTCAATACATGAATCAATTCTGTATGCCATAAAACATTTATGCATGATGATAGATGGATTGAAATATTTTATATTCAATGTAGAAGTATGAGATAAACAGTAAATGAATCTAAATCTCTGAAATACAAATTTTCCTCTCCAGTAACTATCAGAGAAGCAAAAATGTTCCTTACCAATTATTTATATATTCAGATTCACTTCTCAGTTTCATAAAACTTTACATGTTCCTGGTGCACAATAAATTCAGGTATTCCTTCATCTCATAGCATATACTTTCTCTTTGTTGAAAGTTAGTCTTCATGTTAAAAAAGCCACAGCTGTTTTCAATTGCAGCATTTTCTTTTAACCTTTTGTGGCATTGCAACTGACCATTGAATAGAGAATTCAGAAATATTTTACACTCAGGGTCTTTCTATATTTGAAGCCATTCTTGCTTTTTATTTGTTTATTTTTAATAATACAAAAAGTCTGTGGTGGATTATGTGGGGTTTATGGGTTTCATGATCTCAATGACTCGCCTTTGGAATCCCTGGGGTCTCTTCTCACAGAATGAATCTGCGATTAGATGTCCACGTTATGATTGTGTTTCTAAAGGACAGTTAACATGAATTTCAGAGATTTATAGAAATAGCGGTAAGAATATGACCAAAGTTTAGAGTTTTTTTTTGTTTTTGTTTTTGTTTTTTTAACGACCCTGGATTCTGTTCCTAGAAAAGGCATCCATAAGCAATTACAGAGTCATCTGCCAACAGGATGTTTTGTCCGCATACTGGAAGATGAGAAGCTACAAAAAAAGAGCATATATGCAGCTTTTCTAGTTATGTGATTATTTCCAAAAGGCTCTTTCTTTAAGAGCACTTTCATCAAATATTATCAACACTTATACTTCTTTACAATTGCTCTCTATTAAACTTTAGTGCCAGCTGTCAGAGCTGTAATGTAAACCCTTATTAGCTCTCATAAGTTCTACTCTGGAACTAATAAGGGATTGTCAAAACTCTAAACACAGACAGAAGTGAAAGGGGTGGAGAAATCACAGGAAAAAAAGGTGGAAAGTGTTCAATGAATCTGCATTGACAAAGCAATCTTTGTGAAACTATTACCAGTATATTTCACAGAATCTAAGTCCATCAGGAGGGAAAAAAAGATCTAGTTCTCAGTTTATTTTGCATAGGGTTTTATTCTCCTTACGCTGGAAGAAGTTGACTAAAGAAAATGAAACATTAGCTGGAAAAGTTAATGAAATATCAATAATCATTCTCTGGAATCATTACATGTATTCTGAAAAACATGGTTACATTGCATCTTGAAAGTTGAAAACACAGAAGCTTTTATAGTATCTGAATAGTTAGAGTAAAAAGGATAAGTTTGAAGTGAAGATGAATGTTCTTTACAAAAGCCATAAATTATATAACATGTATGCTTTAACAGAAGTTGTTTAACAAAGTGGCACGCAGCAAATCAGAGCTAAGGAAGGTCATCCATATAAAACACCTTAAGTTAAAGAAAAGGAATTTCAAGACTTTCTTTAGGGTCCAACCAGCCTTGACAGTAAATTATGATGGCAGATTCACGAGCTAGCTGACAAGATAATATTCATTAAGATGATAGGAGAACTATAATTTTTACATATTCACAATAACCAATATCCCACCCTTCACAGAAAAAAGAAGTTTAGATATGTCTTTTTCTTGGACAATTTCAATCACTTTACAGGTAAGTTTACATTTAATAGATATTTAGTGAGTTGTCTACAAAGCAATGTTCTATCTTCCTTTGGACAGAAAACTGAAAATGAAATGATGGAAACAACCCCTTTCAAGTAAAATGAGAGCTACTTTTTTTCTGCAACCAAAATTATTTTCTGATGCCTCAGATGCTCATAGTGAATACTGTCCTGGGAAGATTAACCCATACATTACCATAGTCTCTCAAACAAATAAACTGCTTAATGGACACATTATTTATGTTTCCCAAAGATTATACACTTGGCATATAGATATTACCTAAATTACTATTTGCACATTTGAAACACTAGACCAGTCAAAGCATCTAAAAGCCCAAAGAACTTAGTGTAAGAATAATAATTTAATGAAAAGAACTTGATACTATAAAGCAGATACCCCACAGCCATTTGATAAGGAATGCCTGTGAGTTAAATTAGAGCTTTAGAAGTATACTTTAATAATGACCTATAAAATCATCTTTTAGGTTGGGATTAAGTAGAGTGAAATGCCTATTTAAAGAGAAAATGTGTTTTAAGATTTTTTCCCTCTGAACAGAATTGGTGAGATTATATTACTAAAGTTAACCCACATAAGGTAAAACAGTTCATATTTTACTAAAACACTGTAAGTCTTATTTAATTGTAATCCTGCGTAAGAATGTTACTAACATTTATGGAACTTCTTGTGATTTTTAAGGCCTGTTATAGTGGTTCATTGCTGATCATTTAACTTATTCATTACGAGGTATTCAAATGCTTAGATATGAATTTGCTCTACTCCCTAAATTTAACCACAGACATATTTCTCCTAAACATGTTTGCAATTACATTGTGTCTGAGTGTTCAAAATAATCTGATTTGCAGTATATACAGAACAAAGAATTCACATTTCTATTTTCCTAAACTTGCAAATCCATGGTTTAAATTTATATTGTTTTTATAGAGACTCAAAAATGAGCTACAATATTTAAGAAGTCACAAACCAAATATATTCCCTTGCTTTCTCTCACTTTTCATATTAAAAAATAAGTTTTTACTTTAACTACTTTTTAGATAGTGCACTCACATAATTTGATCACAGATTTCCAGTAATATCACATAATAATAATTCGTGTAAGCACATTTGACATATACTTCAAACAACTTATACTGCTTCTCCACTGCCTTTATAGTATTTGGGCCATTCTTAAGTATACATAATAACTACCTAAAGCAAAGTAAATAGATAAGTTAGCTCTATCCAGAGTCAGGTGAAATGTTTCAACAGATATATTTTTCTTTTTCTTAGTTGCTTACTTATTTTTGATTCACATGATTCTTTCAAGGCAAGGGCATTATTTATTGGTATATCCTTTCCAACTAACTAAACTCGTCTTTTATAGAAGGAATGTTAGGACACAAACACAATATGAACAAAACCTAGGCTTAACATTTTTGAGATGTAGCATTTTAATTTTATTTTTGCATTGCAGTTGTTTGCTTATTTCCTAAATCATGCTTTCTTAAATCAAACCAGTTAAAACCTAAAAGTCTTTCTGAATATACAATATAAAAATGTGCATTTATAAACTCAAGGCACTTTGGAAAAATCAGTGGGAAGATTCATACTATGAAAAAAAAGAGACTGAGTCCAATACCAGATGGGAAAAATCAAGCGTGACTGCTGTTTGGAAGAAAAATAACACTTAACAATAAGATAATGGAGGAAATATCACCCATGGTTTAATAGACTAGAGGTTTAATTGAACAAAAAAAATGTCTCTTTAGAAAAGCACAATCCTTTTGGATCCTTGTTTGGAAGAAGGTGGGCAATCAATGAATAAATAATGAATACACAAATATATACATTCATTAAATACATGTTTTATCTCTTAAAATATGTCTAAGGTCTAAGGTAAGCTGTTGAATGGGTGATTTCATCATATCTAAATGTTCTAAAATGTATTGAAACAAGAAAACAAGGAAGGTAACACATTTCAGGGATTCTGATGACTGAAAATAATGACGTTCAAATACCTTGTGTCTAGTGCTGTATATTGTGCAGTGGACTAAGCAATACATCCACTGGCCATTTTGAAGCCCATCCCTTTTGTGGATGAAGAAACTAAGGCTCAAAATGTTTAGCCACAAAATTAATAAGCTGCATTCCTAGGACTCCTAAGCCCAAGCCCTCAAACACTTGTTAGTGACAAGAGCTTTTGGCTAAATAGAACAATTAAATGCAAACTGTAATTTGAAGACAAGTGCAGAAATTTTTTTGGCATTAGGCTCATGTACATAAATTGATGAGAAGACATAGAATCTTGTATAAATCAGAGGCTTGATAGCTATTATAAAGCTATAATGTATCTGTTTAATTTGTTATATTAAAGTTATTTATCTTATTACTTATCAGTGCCATACTTTTTATTTAAATAAATTCATTGGTTGGAAAAACAATGGATGTATAACTGCTAAAGGCAAAGAGGAAATAGACAGCTGTCATTTTAACCTCAGAGAAAGGAAATTTTTCATAACCGAAGGTAAGAATCTCGATAATTATAGGGTAGTCTTTACGAGGTGAGCCAATGCTTTAAGCACTAGATCAGTAAATTTAAGGGACAAAAATGCCACATTTATTTCAGCATCTACAAAAATTGTTTAGACGGTTGCTTTATTACAGGTATTAATCTAGAAACAATTGATTATTTTAAAGCAGAAAGATAATATGCATCATAAATTCATAAAAGAAAAAAGTATGATCTTTGGTACCGTAAAAATATTTGTTATTCCTTTACTTCATCATCTATTCGTTATTCTAACGAGAAGTCAGATGAATCTATTATTGCCTGGCTGCAACTGTATGTGACCTAATAATCAAATATGTTTATTTCAAATTAGATAAAATTAACATCTTTATTTGCAATGCATTCTGAAAGGCGTAGTGGAATCAAAGATAAATAATGTAAAGTCTATTCTCTTCAGGACCTCTATTCTAAGAATGGATAGTTGGTATAGAAATATAGAAATCTCACAGTAATTACACATCCTATAGGTATCTACTTGAGAACCTACTCAATTAGATTCTGCTATGTTCTAAGCAAGATGTTTCTAAGAAAAGACATTTCTGGTGTCTCCCCTTAAGGAACTTCCAGGCAAAAAACAACTAGAAAGGAATGCTTCTGAGTTCATTCACACTCATGAGCACCTTGCAGTTCCAGAGGGTGCCTTCTGATTGTGCACACAGACTTAGTAGGTGTGAAGAATATACTAAGGTTTTCAATTTTCTCTAGCGCCTCTGTCAGAGCAAGCAGAGTCTTAAAATTATCCTGTTATTGAAACTTTGGCAGCTGTTTTAAGAGTTTCTGAATTAACAGAGAAATGAGTGGAGAGTAAGAACTGGTATCCTAAGTCAGAAGTAAAACAAATATAATTTTGGATAGTCATCAAAAAGTCTAGGTGTCTTCATACATCACATCAAACACACTTTTCTATTTAGCTGCTAATGTAAAAGAAGAAGGAATAAAGTTAGCATTCCACAATGAATGTGCAGAGATAAAGCACAGAGCAACAAATTCTTCAGTGACATTAATAAGGTATTTGGTACACTAAGTCTAAACAAAGTTTATATGAGAAGGAATATTTATAGTAACCTTCTGCTATCTGGCTCAAATGTAATTAACTGACTATATAAAAAGCCATTAGCGTCCTCATCTCTCCCCTCCAAACTAAACCAAAACAGATAACATAATTCATTAGGCTGGATTAAAAAGAACAAAAAAAAAAAATCATGATGTTTCCTTGGTATTAATACAAAATTTTCCCACACTTCCAATCTTAAAAAGAGAAAACCAGTAAGAAGAGTTATGCTGGGATCTAAAAAATATGAAATATCCAAATGAAAAAATCAAGTAAAATATTGTCAATGCTTGAAAGTGAATGCCAGATGACTCAGTTTTAGTATGTCACTTTATAATTTTAATTTTTCAGTGTTACCCTTTTAAAAGGAGGTTTATGAACATCCTCCCCAAAAAAACAACCCCACCTGCCATTTGACCATGCTGTCAAAATCCAGCAAGTCTGCCCAGATCCCAGAAACATGGTCCAAATAAATTTTAAGTTATATACATGGTAAATTAAAGAAAATATATTACAGTATCCTTCTCTTTCATCAAATATGAGAGATAATGTATTTAAATAAAAGTCATATTTTAAAATATATTAGATAAATTCCTAGTAAACGGTATGACACATATTTTCTTACCTTCCTTACTAATTTTTATACCACTCCTTATCAGTTTAAGCTTGCATAGTTATTTTTATATGCATTTCTATTTCACCAAATTTATTGTAATAAGTACTCTTTACCTTCCTGGTGCTTCTTGGAGTTTGTTTGGCATGCGATTCTTAAATCGTTCTTTAGTCGCCAATATTTCTTTCTACCCTCCTTTATTTTCTCTCTCTAAACAGTCATTGAAAGAGAAAAATTTACCATTTACTATTCTTAGCTTTCTTTTTTCCTATCCTACCTAGCCAAAAGAAAGAGGAGGAGGAGGAGAAGGAGAAGAAGAAGAAGAAGAAGAAGAAGAAGAAGAAGAAGAAGAAGAAGAAGAAGAAGAAGAAGAAGAAGAAGAAGAAGGAGAAGAAGAAGAAGAAAAAGAAGAAGAGGAAGAGGAAGAGGGGGAGGGGGAGGAGAGAGAGGAGGAGGAGGAGGAAGAGGAAGAGGAAGAGGAATTTATTCTGTGAACCATGTCTACAGTCAAAAGCAAAATATTATGTTCTGTCCAGATTTAAAGAGGACAATTTATATGCAAAGTAGTCTCATTTATTCCACTTGCATTTGAGAAAAGTGACTGATTATGCGATCAGGAGTAGAACACCAGACTTGACAGAGTGTAACAGCAAGCAAGGGCATTAAAATGGACAAAATTTCAAGGACAATATACTTAACTTCTCCTATATATTTATTTATTTAAAATTTGAGTAACAATTTTAGTGTGTTCTTAAGCATAAAACCTTGCCTAATGCTAAGTAAATTTTGGGATTAAGTGAAATTATGATATGATATAGCACAGCTGATATACATAATTTTATATAAAATGATATTTTAATTGATTCCACTTAAAATATAAAGCGATTTTAATAAATATTAATTTGATTAAAGAGTTCTAGTTCTGTGATATTATATTAATATCAAATATGCATTCAAGCCTAACGGATGATACAAATAATTTTTGAGCACTAAAACGAGCCAAATCATGGTGCAAAAGACACTTAAAAATCATGCCTGTATACATTAAACACTGAAGCATCAGCTCTGGATTTTTAAATCAAATAATCTTCTAAAAGCACTAATCTCTTGTAAGTAAACATGTATTTGATACCCAGATGTCAGTGAAGAAAAGACTGTACTTTATAGCAATGAAGTAAATATTGCTATGAGATAGATGAGCACCAGCATAAATAACCACCACAGTATCTAATTCTGTTAGAATTAGGTTAGCTGAGTGCTAAAGATTTCTCAACTTTCTACATAAAAGAGATAGAATGTTTTTCTTCCAGGTGGTCTAGAATTAGATTACCTTAGTTATTAAACAGCAGAAAAACTTAAATATAGCATGTATAACACCTATTACAGGGTGCAGGCCAGCACTGTATAATCAAATACATTAATATTTCTACAGCAAAGCATGAATTACCACATCAAATGGAATTAATTTTAGTCCATAAATAGACTATGGTCAGTTTGAGGCATGTTTTCCTGCCAAGTGAGTTGAGACTGAGTGCATTTCATTTAATGACACTATGATAAACTCATAGGTGAGAAATATTGCTCAAAGAAAAATAGAGAAGGCTCTTACCTTGGCACATAAAACCTCTTTCTTCATAGCCAGCATTGCAGGAACACTTGCCAATGGGTACAAGCCATTCGCCTTCTGTACTGCAGTACATCCTTGGAGGATCTTCCTCCTTAGAATTGTTGACACAAGACCCTCTAACCTCCACCAGGGACTGGGAGTCCATGGGTACCGTGTCTGGAAACATAGCCAGATTCTTCACTGTAAATGGGCACTTTTTGAAGTATACTCTCACAGACACCAAGGCAACACAAGCACCAACATCTTGAAATGCCAAATAAAATCCCTTCTTGTTGACAGGACCTACTTCTCTAATCTCAGTGTTGAGCTTCAGAATACGGTCCCCAAGATCCATTTGAGTGAAACTTTCATCAGCTGCAATGGTGTCAATCTTTGTAAACTGATGCTCTCGAAATTTCACCCCATGATCATCATCAGACTCCATGTAGTACAGGTTGAATGTCTCCTTGCAAGTTCCTAAAACCAATGGAATGCTATTGCAGTCTCGTAGAGTGAACTTGAGCTCCACATAAATCTTCTGAGCTGAGTTCCTGGGGACCCAGTTTGTTCTCAGCCAATTGTTTTGACTGTGGTCCATGACATTGCACACCTGGTAAGTCCTGATGGGTGTGTAATGTTCATCCACACCACTGATCTCTTCCCACTGAAGAATCAAAGAGAAACAGAGAGTGAGGCAGAATTAATGATAATAACGAATACAACATAAGGGTGTCAGAGCCATCTCTATATAATAAATCATCATTTACTCATTAAAAACATTCTTGTTTGTAGTTTTTATTTGCAAGGTTCTCTGAGTTAATGGACATAAAGTAATTTATAATTTTGATGAACACATTTCAATTGCGTTACAGTTTGTTGAATATTCAGGAAAAAGACACTTAGCAGTTAATAGAGCCTAATCAAACATTCCAGGATCAAAACCTCAAATCAGTTGTCTCCAATGACACTATAATATTATTTTCTCATATGTTTTTGGGTGTTTTTCTCAGTTTAAAAAAGAAAAAATTAATAATACTGCCTAAAATTCATGCTTATTAATCTTTTCCCAATTTGTGCCAGGTTTTTGGTAAAATTGATATAAGGTAAAATAAAGTGAATATAAATGATATTTTTACTATGTATCATCATGCATGACATTTTTTAATGTACTGTCATTTCAATGGACATGTGTTGCAGAACTATGAAAAAAAAATTTGAAGTAAAAATAGAAATGTTCCTCACCCCACAGCTTCCCGCCAAATATAAAACCAAGTTATGTGTGAAAAACAGAAGACATGGCAAACATTCGATTCTTAAAGCCTTTTGCACCCACATTGGATCTTTTCTTAGTCAAGAAATAGATAGATATTTGGGGTTTTGTTGTTATAGCAGTTAAGGTTATCTTAGAACAACTTTTATCACTGTAAAAACCTTTAAAAGCATTCAGACTTTTGAGAACAGTGAAGCACTATTTTCTGTGATCCTTAGGACAAATTTTGAGAAGCTTTTAACTTAGCATCGTAAGTGTGTGTTACTTATGATCCTAAAACTATTAGACCAGTTGTTTCTGTTATCTCTGTGTCCATACTTTCCTCTTATGCCCCATTTTGCTTACTTCTTGCAGGAAACTACATCTTTTGTCATGCCATTCTTGAATGTAAAGTTTTCTAGGGATCTCTGTTACTTACGCAAAAACTTTCTAACTCTTGAATTTCACATTTGTGTTCCTCTTAAAACTGGTCCTAAACCACATGTTAATTTTTCTAAGTGTTTGAATCGAGATAAGTAATATTTCCACATATTATATTATTGTCAATGTAAACTCTTTTATTGTTTACGAAAGATGTGGTGGATATTCTGTCCTTTATTCTTTTCTTGTGGAACTTGTGGAATCTTCCCTTCCTTCCTTCCTTCTTTCCTTCCTTCCTTCCCTTTCTTTCTTTCTTTCTCTTTCTTTTTATCTTTCTTTCTTTCTCTTTCTTTTTTTCTTTCTTTCTTTCCCTTCCTTCCTTTCTTCCCTCCCTCCCTCCTTTCTTTTTCTCTTTCTTTCTTTCTTTCTTTCTTTCTTTCTTTCTTTCTTTCTTTCTTTCTTTCTTTCTTCCTTCCTTCCTTCCTTCCTTCCTTTTCTTTCTTTCTTTTCTTTTTTTTTTTTTTTCACAGAGTCTTGCTCCTGTCGCCCAGGCTAGAGTGCAATGGCACGATCTCAGCTCACTGCAATCTTCACCTCCTGGGTTAAAGCAATTCTCCTGCCTCAGCCTCCTGAATAGCTGGGATTATAGGCCCCCAACACCACAACTGGCTAATTTTGATATTTTTAGTAGAGATGGGGTTTCTCCATGTTGGCCAGTGATCTTGAACTCCTGGCCTCGTGATCCACCTGCCCTGGCCTCCCAAAGTGCTGGGATTATAGGCATGAGCCACTGTGCCCATCTGGAATATGCCTTTCTTACGGTATAACCCCATGGGACTGTGCATTCTTCTGCCTTATGCCTTCCATAACCCTGACAATCTTAAGAAAATTTCTGTATTATAGAACCCTTATTGAATCCCCTATTCATTTGTAAATTTAATTCATGATACATGCTAAAGTTAGTTTAATTTTGTTTCATAGGCATTTGCTAAATTTTAGGCAGGTCTCTTCATATTCACTGTAGTATGGAGCACAAAACTTCACCTTTTGGCATATGCACAAATATTATTTTTCTTATAAGTAAGAGTTATTCATGGGAATACAACAAAACGTTTTTCTTAGAGAAAATATTTAAATATATTTAAATATTGTAGTTAAATTTATGAATAAAACCCTTGTGAAGCCCATTATAAATGTGTTCCTACATTTTTCTCCAATAAAGCATTAATAATTTTCATCAAGAACAATAGACATTAAACACTTTTAACTAAATCAACAGCATATAAAATGCATTAACAGTTTTTTCTATTTCTATTGACACTATGTTATGATTTTCTTGTGTGTTTTTTGCTTTGTTTGTTTGTTTAAAAAAAGAATAAAAAATACTACTGCCTAAAATTCATCTGTACGAATATTTTCCCAGTTTGGGCCATGTACAGGTTTGCTACATTGGTCCATCGCATGAGGTCAAGTTTTGAGTATGATTGATCCTCTCACCCAGGTTGTGAGCATAGTACACAACAGTTAGTTTTTCAATTCTTGTTGCCTCCCTCCTTTTCTCCTTCAGCAGTCCCTAGTTTTTATTGTTGCCATCTTTAAAGACACAGAAATTTTAATTCACACCTTCTAATCACAAAATAAAATAAAATATTAATTTATTAAATTGTCGGTAATTACAAACAAAGGAACATGACATTTATTTGGCCTTTAAGCCTCATTAGGGGAAATTTTTTTATACTAAATTCTTAAATTATAAAAAACAATTTGTGAACTTTACTGTTGTGACAATCACAGTTTAAAAACTTCTAGTTCTTCATAGCTCACCTATTAACTTACAAACAAAACAAGTTAACAGCACTATTTATTTTAAAAACCTTGATCGTTCAGGATCTAAAATACAAGATAGGCACTCATTTTCTGGAGGCAAAATTGACCTAGCTTCATTGTCACATCCGAGATTCAACAACGAAACAAGTTGAGACTATTTTAGAAGATCTCAGAAGTAATATACAAGATACATTCTAACCTCAGTTTAAGGAAAGAAAATATTCACATTATATTTGTAATAATTGCCAATATACAATTTTCATGCATCCACTCTATATGTATGTAATATACTGAGTTTTTAAGAAGATAAGAGCAACTGAGCGTCTCAGTTCTTAGGGTTTTACATTGAGGTGCCTATAATAATACAGTCACATTCAAAGCAAAATGAATGTATATGTTGAATATAAAAAAACAGTCAACAGACTTGGTGCTCCAAAAATCTCTGGTGTTAAAAGTTAGTGTTTTATAGAGTCTTCTCTAGTAACATTACCTTGGTTCTACAATGGCATTTTAAAGTACAGATGTAGCAAAAACTCTAGAGAACAAATGCTTTCCATAACCATCTTATAGAAAGTTCGATCATGACAATATTATTTGAATGTAAACCAATTGACTTTAAATTTCTTAAGTCAAGATTTCCTTTTAGTAATAAATGAGATTGTTACTTTGATGAATCATTTGCAAATTTATTCTGCAATGAACAGCATTTTACTGGACATCAAACAGAACATATTGTGTAGAGGTTTTCATAACTTGATGTAAAATATGATTTTAATTATGGAGATCTCAGTGTAGTTTAACATTTGGCAAGATACCACAAGTCCTTGAAAACAGAGGTGTACATTGCAAGAAGATAATGCAAACAGAACCAGCATTCTTTGCACATAAAAGGTTGCAAGGAGCAATTATCACTTCATTAATTTGTAATGAAGGCCAAATTGCTTGTAAGGGATGGTGATGTGCCATCTCAGACCACTTGCGAAAACAACAAGTCTCTAACTCTAGCATTTGCTGAGGACTAAAGACAGTAGAAATAAAATTCTTAAATGAATATTTTCTCATAGCAGCAGCAACAAGAAAAAATCATTAATTAAAGCTGCTGTTATAATGCTCATGCTTTGTAAATGTAAAGAATGCCCATGTTTCATTCATTTTTCTACTGTAAGAACTAATGTATAATATTCATTATATATTATCATTATATTTTATCAGAGATTCTATCCTGCTAAAGAAATTGTCTCAAGGCAGAGATGAAAAAAAAAAGGGAGACATAGCAATGGTAACATAGAATTTGGTGGTGAAAAGCATCTTTCTCTTCATTTTCTTAATGCTTTCAAGAAATCTCTGTGATTGGTATCCACCAGTAACAGCTTCAGCAGAAGGGGATACAAACAAAAGAGGAGCTCAAAATACTTTTTCAACCTCTAACTCATTAAAATAAACAATTCTGATATTTAGCCTAGCTTCCAGATTTTGACTTTAAGCTTTAATTATTAGACCACATAGGGTTCCTTGTATTTTCATCTTTCTCTGGATCATTTCAAGTATAAGAAACCTATGCATCCAAACTTTCTCCCACTGGACAGTCCATTCTGAAAAT
Organism: Homo sapiens; assembly: GCF_000001405.40. NCBI lineage: Eukaryota > Metazoa > Chordata > Mammalia > Primates > Hominidae > Homo > Homo sapiens. The sequence goes on along the minus strand of NC_000003.12, from coordinate 89,205,466 downwards.
AACCACACCAAACCTCTCCATCATCAAAGGTAGTATAAGATACTAAGGAGGCTCTTAGTTTATATTTTCTAGATAGCACAGTTCCTTGTCACTGAATCAAACATATATTTTTGAGGGAAACATATATTTTAATAATTAACTGGCATTTACCTAATAACTATTATGCTAGTATATCATCATTATGGTAATTAAGAATTTATATTTATTGTTGATATTAATTACTTTCATAGAAAACATTTTTATTTATTTGCTAACAAGGGGTAGTAAGGTGAGGAGGAAGTTTACACTTCCTTTAAGAGAAACAGAAGCTGCAATAAATTTAGTGCACAAGCTAATATAATTTGGAAAATATTAAGATTGCAAGATAGTCATGATTTACCTTTTAAGACTTAAAACCAGTTTCTAAGAAATTTGTGGATGACAATATAAGGGAAATGCATCAGCAATATTGTTACATTTACATTATTTTTGCATTTCAATGGTTTATAAGAAACACCAATTTCTGCGCTTTACAAAATGCTGATGATGATTAATCTTGCACCCAGTAATTTTAAGTGATATTAAGTCGGTTCATGTTATTCCTTTCTCCACTCACGTTTTTTATTCTTATGTTTATTTCCCCTTGTACACTCATAGCCATTTCAAAATCCAGTCTTCGTCCTGGAAGTATTTGGGCATTTACCAGGCAGCAGCATTTTAAGCATGCATGCAGAATCTCTTACAGCAAGGCTGTCACTGTCAAGTGTCACGCACAAATATATCTACAAAAATCATTATATTTCTATTTATTCATAAGTAGTTTTCCTTAGCCCATTCTGGTCTCAAAAGTACACACACACACACACACACACACACACATTTACACACAGATATATATTTCTAAAGGTATATTATAAAAAGATCAGAGTAATGTCAAATAGTTGAGACAAATGAGGAATAGAATTGTTTTTTTGTTTGGGGTGTGTGTGTGTGTGTGTGTGTGTGTGGTGTGTCAAATCAGAGAATTACATTTGTGGCCGAGGAGTCAGGAAGACAGAAGATGGAGATTTGATGTTGGAAAATCCCTATGATTAACAAGATGTGGGACAGGATCCGAAGACAAATATGACCGAAAAGGGCATATGTGGGAAGATGTGGACAGTTATCTTAATTATAATGGCTACTATTCATACCCAACCACCTTTAGCCCCTAAGTTTTCAGCAGAAATTTGGTAATGGTATTAGAATTGCCTTATGGAATATAGAAAAGCCAATATCCACAGTTTGGCACAGTATACTGAAAAGATCTGGGAAACAAAGACAAATGTAAAAGAATCAGAATTATTATGAGGAAAGCCAACAAAGTATTTTAGAGAGTGAGAAGAGCTAGGAACAGAATCATGTAAGATCCCTGCTTAGAATTCTCACCAATATTGGGCATACCTCAGTACTTTCTGTGGTTTTAACAAGATACAGGCTATTAAAGGCACAATGTCTCCAGAAAGTTTGAGTATGTTGTCCCTTCTGTCTCCGCTTTACCCAGCAACCTCGCAGCTGGGCTCATAGATGTCTGTGTTTTTCTTCTCTGTCTTCTAGTTCCTTAATACCCCTAGACTGAGAGAAGACCTGAAGTAGCCTCAGCTCCACTCTTCTAGGAGCTTTAAGGTTTTTTTCTTAATATTTTTATTTTATTTTATTTATTTATTTTTTTGAGACAGAGTCTCGCTCTGTTGCCCAGGCTGGAGTGCAGTGGCGCGATCTCGGCTCACTGCAAGCTGCGCCTCCCAGGTTCACGCCATTCTCCTGCCTCAGCCTCCCGAGTAGCTGGGACTGCAGGCGCCCGCCACTGCGCCCGGCTGATTTTTTGTATTTTTTTTTAGTAGAGACGGGGTTTCACCGTGCTAGCCAGGATGGTCTCGATCTCCTGACCGCGTGATCTGCCCGCCTCGGCCTCCCAAAGTGCTAGGTTTACAGGCTTGAGCCACCGCGCCCAGCCGGAGCTTTAAGTTATTTTTCTCCCAGCTGGGATTCAGGGTTACTGTACTGAGATCTCAGGTCTGTTGCAATGATACCGCACCTTTGGACAAATGTCTCATACCTTTAAGTCTGTTTAATTCCTTTATGTAATTTTTTTTTTGTTTTGTTTTGTTTTGTTTTTTTTTTAATTCCGGCTAAGCAGGGAACCAGGAAGCTTTTTTAAAATACTGCTTCCCAGATAAAAAAAAAACAACAACAACAAAAACAAAACCAAAAAAACCTAGGTGATTCTAACATTCTAACCCCCAACACTGAGAACTAATGCTATATATCCCTTGGCCAACTGGACTTTTAACGTCTGCACTCTACCTGAACTGATAGGATGCTCCAATATCAGCTTCCGTGAATTCTGAGTCTCCTTAGAAACTGCGTCTAAAATGTCGTCCTTCCCCTGTCTCTGTAGCATGGTCTCATGTTCAGCCCTTATCCCATCTGGTTTTTCACTCCAGATTTGCCAGGGCCTAGGCATGCCTTACACAGAAGCTCACCTGAATAACCTCATCTTCTACCTCCTACAAGGAATGATAAGATATTATAACAAACCAAGTAAATCCTCACAGTGTTCTATTTCACATCTGGTGGTAGAACACCTGACAAAACAGGTAGGTGTATTACAAAAACATGCAAACAGTGTGTGGGGAAATAACTTTCAATCACATATTTATACTGGTATGAAGAAGACAATTGATTTTAGACATGCTACTATTTTTATAGTTTGCTGTAGTTTGATAGCATTCTACTGTGATTTTCTGTGGTGATTTGTGATTTTTGAAAACGCCCTTATAATTGCAGTTTTATTCAATTTTACATGGACATATTAAATATTTATATGTGCAAAGCTTAAATTAGAAATTGTGTATAGTAAAAAGATAAGTAAAATGTAATTTTTCATATATATATATATATATATATATATTTTTTTTTTTTTTTTTTTTGAGACAGAGTCTCGCTCAGTCATCCAGGTTGGAGTGCAGCAGGGTGATCTCGGTTCTCTGCAACCTCCACGTCCTGGGTTCAAGTGATTCTCCTGCCTCAGTCACCGGAGTAGCTGGGATTACAGGCATGCACCGCCATGCCCAGCTACTTTTTATTTATTTATTTATTTATTTTTTATTTTCAGTAGAGACGGTGTTTTGCCATGTTGGCCAGGCTGGTCTCTAACCCCTGGCGTCAAGTGATCCGCCTGCCTCGGCCTCCCAAAGTGCTGAGATTACAAGCGTGAGACACCACGCTTGGCCACAAAATGTGATTTTTCTTATCAGAAATTGATGCTGGTGGAGGAGGCATAACACATACAGTAGATGACAATATGTTCTGTATTTGAGGTACTGCAAGGAGTTATTGAGAAAGGAAAGATTATCATGTGAAGGAAGGTCCTGGAAAAGGATACGGAAATGAAAATATGAGATTATTGGAACTTCTGTAAGTGAAAATTAAGGAGGACACAGAGAGGGAGAAAAAGTGTCAGCAGGCTTAGCAAATGTGAGGACAAAACCTGTTTAAGTAACTGGGTTCCAGTACGATTGGAATATAGGGCAGCGGGCTGTGGATATGTGGACAAGTACTTGAAGTTCACACTTAACATCCTCGATAGATTCTTGGAAACTGTGACTTTAAACAATGTATAACAAAACCAATTTTACCCTGGGCTAATTGATATAAACAAGAGTTAACTTCCCATGGCATATTTCTGGTTATGAAAACATCACCAAATTTCTAAATAAACACTCGAAGCACTTCTAATATTAAACATGGAAATAAATGTAAGATACAGATTCATTTAAGAAAAATTCATGAAAACAAGATGATTATTAACCCAATTTTTGGTGAATAGCTGCGAGACAGTGGTCAGAATGGGTAGTGGGTTACATCTAGGAATGAACATTTGCAAAGTAAACACTTTAAGGAGCACCTCCTCCCACTGTGTAGTTCAAAAACCATGGCAAATATGGTGGCTTGTGGAGTGCCTTAGTACTGCCTCATTTAATGCCATGTATTTGTATGATTATTGTACACATGACAGATTTTTATTTTAAAATAATTTGTATTCATTTATTCATTCATTCATTCATTCTTTTTCTAACCGTTGGCTCTGTGTCCCCACCTAACTCTCACGGTGAATGGTAATCCCCAATGTTGGGGGAGGGACCTGGTGGGAGGTGATTGGACCATGGGGGTGGATTTTCCCCTTCTGTTTTCATGATATTGAGGGAGTTCTCATGAGATCTGCTTGTTTGAAAGTGTGCAAACCTTCCCTCTTTGCTCTTTCTTCCTCCTGCTCCAGCCATGTAGGATATGCTGGCTTCCCTTTTGCCTTCTGCCATGATTGTAAGTTTCCTGAGGCCTCCTCAGCCATGCTTCCTGTACAGCTTGCAGAACTATGAGCCAATTAAACTTCTTTTCTTTTTAAATCACCCAGTCTTAGGTAGTGTTTTTATAGCAACGTGAAAACAGACTAATACACCTGCTTATTCCAGTTCAGGGCTGGGGTGGCTGGAACCTATCCCAGCAGCTCAGGGCACAAGGCAGGAGCCAGCCCTGGACAGGAAGCTATGGTATTGAAGGGCACGCTCACACAGACCATACTCACTCAGACTGGGAACACTTAGACATGCCAGTTCACCTAACGGGCACATCTTTGGGATATGGGAGAAAAACAGAGTACCCAGGGAAAACTCATGCAGCCATGGGGACGATGTGAACACTCCAGACAGTGTCCCTGGCTGTGAATTACATTTATTTCTCATCAGTGTTACAATGAAAGATATTGGACAAAACTACCTTATTCAAGGCCCTGGCATACTTAGAAATGTAAGGCCAGGAACAATTTGGGCAGTGCAATGTGTCTCTGCCTCATTTGCTACAGTGAGAAACTACTGAAGAGAGGTGCATGGTTAGCTCTGGACTGGGAGTTGGTACAATAAAGAATAAAAAAGAGAAGAGCTTTAGCAAGACCATGGCAAAGACCCAGGCAAGACTTCTTAAGATGACTTCTGTTGAACAATTATATACTGAACATTTCCCAAAAAGATTATAAAGAGATGCTCTTTTTTCTTATGAATGCACACAGTGAATATCTACATGTGAAGATAGTAACTCAGCTTATCTTAGAATTTTGGATATACCAAAACATATTTCAGAATGATTCTTCTTTCTGCTGAAAGATGCAGCATCAACAAAAAGAGACAAGGTACGTGTATATAAATAAATTGATATCTTTAATTTTTCTCTGTGAAATAATGTCCAATGTAGACTCCATTTCTCCTTTCAAGAACATTCAAATTTTTGTTTATTGAATATTGTGTATCAGGCTCTATATTGATAATGCAGTTATAACACAGATAGACAGGATAGCTGTTCTTATAGAACATAATATCTACCAGTTATATCTACTGTTATTTTATATAAAACACACTCACTCATTTCTCTATTCATTAGTCTTGCTGCCCTCCATGGTCTCTGGTTTTGTTCATCTTCCCCTCCCAAGCATCTAGCCCTGTGCCTAAAACCAAGTAAGCGCCCTATTTTAATTTACTAAAATTAAATGGCATGCAATGTGCCAAATGTCAAAATTATACAAAGTACAGACAGAAGTGTGCTTTTGGCTACATGAGGCATTGGATTTAGAAAATCAGTAATGTAGACAGTTATCTGTCAGAGTATCCTTAACTGAGTAACTATAAGACCAATGACAGACTTACAGGAAAAAAGAAGAAGGTATACATTTCTAGAAACTATGTGTCAGTAAATTTATAATTCAGATTTTTGAAATAGAGGGTGAAAATAGTTTTGGAAGATAAAGGAAAAAGCATCTGAAAACCTGAGATATGGTGGGGTGGAAATAAAAAAATTCAAAAATTATTAAAAGTATTCAAAGATTTACCAAAGAAGAGAATTTCTAGCCAGAAGCATTGACTCGAAACAGATATATGTTATGCTAAAATATAAAGTATAACATAGGGAGACAACATATAATTCACCATTGTCAAGAAGTTTCAATGAAGTGTGCTATTTGAATTTTCTTTCTTGTGAGGAGAATAATGTCAATATCAAAGAAAAGAGAAGAAAAGTATAATTTGCATTGTAAAGGTTTGGTTTTTAAATGGTGAAATATGTTTACTTATAATGTAAAGGACACTTATTGCAAAAATGTTCTTTTTAAAACTATCGTGATGAAGTATACCATTATCTGAAAATTACCTCAGTAAAGTGGGAGTCAATACGATTTAAGAATAATCTAATAAATCATTAATATATTCAATACAAGTTAGAAAGAAAAAAATACACTGTTGACATTCATCAGAGATTTTCTCACTCTGTCTTTCTAATCATATATAGCCAAATGGCTTTACTTTTTATAGAGTAAATTTCCCTTAAGTATTAGAGAGTAGGACAATGAGACTAGCATGTTTCCAATTCTTGGAAAGATATTCAAGGTGAAATTGTCCAATAAAAAAGTAATTTTAGAATTCAGTATAACTGCTTGAAGATAATGAGGAAAATTCCATGCACATTGGCTTAACTTGTCTAGACTGAAAACTGTGCTAAGATGGACATTTACAGAATTATTACAAATGACCAACTACTTAGAAATTAATGCATAACAGTGACAGCAGTATATTTCATATCAGTTGTGAGATTCATGCAATTTCCTGCTATGATAATGGGTCACAGCCACAGTAATTCATAGCAATTTACAATATACCTGCGGAGCACTCCCGGTGACGGAAATGAAATTAACTGGTGTCACTATGGAACATATGCTAAGTTTTACAGATCTTCAGATAGCTAAATTTACTTTTTAACAAAATAAGTGTAATTTTTGAGAGCACTTCTCTGAAATGTAAGCTGTTTTATAGCACCAATTTTAAAGCTACAGAGACCCCTTCTACTGTTCTCTTCACAAGGGTAGCAACAATACTTCATAGAAACATGTTTAATCTTTTATCCGTTGAGTATCCTGAGGAGCCTAGATTTAAGGGTCTAACCTGTAGAGATAAAAGACCCTGTGTTTGAAACCTAGCTCTACTACTTAATAACTAAGAGATTCAATAGAGTATGATTTAATTTACACATCTGTAAAATGGGAAAAATAATAATAACATTTTCTAGAGATATTGTGAACAAAATTAGATTGTCCATTTAAAATGGTTGTAACTGTGTTTGCCACTTGGGAAGCAGCAAATAAACATTCATTATTATTATGCTGACAAAGCTGAGTTAACCAAAAATGTCACCGGAATATACTAGTTTGTTTTCCTTATAAAATAATATAAATGTATTTTAAATTCAAAGTTTGTCTATTTATTATTCCTTTTCACTTGCTGGAGTTTCTGTTTCTTCTAATTTGAGGCTATAACAATTATGACCAGTGTAAGTCTGTTTTACTCTTTTGAAATTCACTAAATATAATTGACAAAAGGTAACTGAATATTTGGCTGCTTTGCATATTTATTTTTTTATTTTTATTTTTTTGAGACAGGGTCTTGCTCTGTCACCCAGGCTGGAGTACAGTGGCATGATCTTGGCTCACTGCAACCTCTGTCTCCCAGGTTCAAGCGATTCTCCCCCCTCAGCCTCCCCAGTAGCTGGGACTAAGGCACACACCACCACACCAGGCTAATCTTTGTAATTTTTGGTAGAAAGAGGGTTTCACCATGTTGGCCAGGCTAGTCTCGAATTCCTGACCTCAAGAAATCCACCTGTCTTGGCATCCCAAAGTGCTGGGAATATAGGTGTGAGCCACTGTGCCCAGCCACAATTTTATGAGAAATGAGTCTGCTATCTTTTTTCTAAGATAAATTTGCCCTTCTAAACTGGAATAAAATCTTTGCCAATAGTATTCCACACTTTACCATGTTCTATATTTCTGTAATTTTATTAGACACTTGACTTCACTTCTTTTCACTATTATCTTTTTTAAAAGTAAAATATATCTGCCATCTATCTGCATAACACGTCAAGAGATATATTCTATATTTTAATAAAAATAAGTTTTTTTATGTTTTTATTTTTTTTTTATGTTTTTATGTTTTTTTTTATGTTTTTATTTCATACCAGGCAGTATGTTAAGCCTCAGGTATATCATGTTTAAAATGGAGATAATAATAGCACCTTTCTAACAGGATTGCTTAGTGGCTTAATAGATAATATCGATAGTAAGTGCTTACACAGTTGTTACCTGCTAAATAAAACAAATGTTTATGAAGCCCTTACATTCTACAAAACCATTTCTTGGCACTACCATTATGATCAAGATGTCATGAAACATTACATCAGAGAAGTAGTTGAGTAGAAGGTCATTTAGGTCCTTTTAGGTCATAAGAGAGACTTTGGATTTTATCCTTAGATAAATGGAAATTTAGTAAAGGGTTTGAATAGAGGAGTGACATGATCTGAATCATGTCATAAAAAGGTCACAGGCTGCTGTGCTGAAGAGAAACAGCAAGGAGTGACGGTCTAAGAAGTGGGATGGGAGGTTATTGTAATACTTTTGTGACATAGGATGGAGTCTGGATAGGATAGCATTGGTGGAAATAGGAAGAAAATAACAGATTCCAAAACCATTTGGGTGGTAGAGCCACGGGATTTTATAGATTTGATGTGGGACATGAGAGAAAAGTGTTGAATGTGATTTATGCTATTGAAAGTTGCCACTCCCAGTACAAAAACCAGAGGAAAAAATTAGCAGTCAGGAGGTGGCATTTAGGGAAGAAATTTAAACATAAGTAGAATTTTGACTACTATGTCAAAATGTATAATTTTGACTACTATGACTAGTGAAAATAGATGAGGAGGAAGAAGGAGGATGAGCACATTCCGAGCAGGTGAAATGATATGGAAAAAGGCATAAAACCCCCAAAATTCCAACTGAGTTTGGACATCACTGGGCAGCTGCAGTGAGAGATGAAGTTGATCTTTCATTGACTAACTCAACACATATTTATCAAACACCTGTTATGCACTAGTGACTCTATAAGGTGCTATTACAGCAGTGAAAATGATGACTTGAAATCTATGACTTGAAATCTCTCCTCAGGGAGCTTCCATACCAGTGGGAGAGATATACAACAAAACAAAATTAAGTGTTAAAATGTGTTTTCTTACATAGTGTTATGTTTTCAGGAGAAGCAATGACGGAAGCCAGAGAGAGGACACAGTTGTGTATGTTGAGAGGAGGGGAAGATTTCAAAATGAATGGCCTGGGAAGTCTTCACTGAAAATGTGATACTTAAATAAAACCTCAAAGGATGAGACAAGTCAGAGGAAGACTTCATGGTGAACTATTTGAATAAAAGAATATGGATACATCAGGAAACATCATTCAAGGCAAAGGAAACAGCAGTAAAGAATCCCAAGGTAGACAGTATCTTGTATGTCCTCAGAGGAGAGAGGTAAAGAGAATGACTGGGAGAAGGAGGAAGGGGAAGGGTTGAAGAGTTTAGCCCAATCCTGGGATCTGAGCAGAAGACTGACAAGTTTTACTTTTTCCTAGAATCACTCTGGGTGCTATAAAGACAATAGTAGAAAATTAGAACAGTGGGGAATGACCATGTAGATGGTTTGGAATATAATGGAAGTTTTTCTCATCACTCGTGAGATTTAAGCAACAATTAGATTTAAGTACATTGCTTTGGCAAGAGTGTTTAGGATGGGCTAGATGAGGAATGGAGGCAGATGGATCTGAGAGTTACTGTGGTTATCTAAGGGACAGGTAATGAGGACTTGTTCATTTTGCTCATTACTGATACCCAACACCCAGGACAGTTCCACATAATCCACTCATTGAATAAGCAAATAAATGAACTAATTTTTGAATGAGAGAAATATTTTAGGAGTAGGACAAGGACTTGACAAACGATTGATATTTGTTTTGAGAAAACTAAAAACCTGAAAATGACTCTGAGGTTTTAAGCTAACATTGGATAATCATATTGACCATTTTATGTTCAAGGTAATGGGCCTTTCTGGCATTGCATCATTTTATCCTTGAAAACCCTGTGCTGCAGGTGCCATCATCTACTAATTCTATAGATGAGACAAAATGAAGCTTAGGAGGGGGTTCAATAACTTCCCCTAAATCTGTTAGCTGTTAATGGTGGAGCCTAGATTCAAACCCAGAACTCTTCAGTTGCACAGCTTTCCTGTTTTTTATGAACCTGTCTTGGTGACTTGGAGATAACGTTATGAGCAGAAAGAGCAGCAAAACAGGTGTGAGAACTTATGCAAAGAAGAGGAGCAAAAGTTTAATATGGGTAGAATCTAATAATGTCAACATGAAACACAGAAAAAGAATGTTTTCAAAAGTTGAAATGGATATCCAGAATTCAGAAAAAAAAATTACATGCATATAAATTCAGATTTTGGAGTCATATAATTAAAGTTTTAGAAATCTTATGTTTAAAAAAGAAAAAAATACAAGAAAAATGAAATGTCGGAAACTGTATTATGAAATGCTTGTGTGTACAGGGTAGGAAGAGAACTATGAGCTGATGAGAGAAGTGGAAATACTGTATTATCGAAATTGCTCTTTCCAACATCCATATTGAAATGTTCCCACATCAAAAAGTTTTTCAAGTTCGGCATGGTATATACTGCTGGAAAAGGAGCATTTGCAGAGGTGAGAATAGAACAAGGGAAAAACAATGTCAGAGTTGCTGGAGAGAAGAGAATTTCAATAACTGTATAGGTATTATAGAGGATGCTTTAGAGCAAAGTATGGTCTGAGGAGAGTGAACTGACAAGAAGACAGATATTGACTATAAAAAATACATGTATTTTTGTTAGCAGAGGTTTTCACAAAACGTCATTTACTTCATAAAGCATAGCAGAGAAGAAGTCAAAGCAGATACAGAGATTTTGTCCTAACAATTTTATTATTGAATAGAAAAATATTCAATAGATTCTATAGGAGATTGGAGAACTTTCTTTACAGGTTTCTTAATCGATATCTACAGAGAGAGACAGAAACACATCCAATGTCAAAGCTAATAAAAGTCCAACCTAGACCAGATCTTCTTACTCTTAGACCTGTTCAAGTGCCAATAAACCACATTGTTTCTGCAAGGCAGAAGGGACTAATTGTAAAGTCAGTCTGGATAAAACTCTGCTCTACTAATACTTAATACGAGATTTGCCAGTTACAGGCAAATATTAATAACTTTGAAACAAATACAGAAATATAGTATTACTATAATTTTAGATGAACCTAGTTATCTTATTAAAATATCGTTTTGTTAGCACATCAATCCATGTACTATAAAGAGTATGTTTTAACAAGTTCTGAAATATTAGTATTTTTAAAGAAAAGTTACATTTCTGGAAGAATATTTGGGAATGGACTAAATCTCATTTTAATCCTGACCTAAAAATGATTATAAATAAATCATAAGTGATAAATATTCTACTTTGAAAATTATCATATGTTTACAAATGTTCTATAATATATAGTGCATTCCGTTTCATAGCCTAATGTGAATGTGTGTACAAGCAAAAATAATGAAATACATTAGAACCATAAATAGCCACTTGGACATGAAATTTTAGAGATGAAGGAACATTTATAAATTTTGAGCTCAGAAAAATGGTTCAATACTATTCATATAACATGTTCATAGCAGGTAAACATATTGGGAAACACTTAAAAAGCTAAATAGTGTGTACTCATATCATTTTGTGTAATTAAATTTTTCTAAAAAAGTAGTTTATTCAATATCATTTAAAATATTATTTTAATTGACAATAATTGTATATATTCATAGGGCACATAGTCACATTTTGGAATATATAATGTACAGTGAACAGATCAGGGTAATGAGTATATCTATGATTTCATACATTTATCATTTCTTTCTGTTGGAAATGTTCAATATCCTCCTTCTAGTTATTTGAAACTATATAATATTTTATTGTTAACGGTAGCTATCCTGCAGTATAAAACACTAGCACTTACTCCTCCTCTCTAACTGTAATTTTGTGTCTTTTAACAAATCCTTTCTACATCAAAATGATCAAGGATGAAGAAAATCTTTCTAATCACAAATTGAATTGTGAAAAATAGGATTATCAAATTGTAACAATTGTTCCCATGGTAATGCCAAGGCCGCTATCATTTGGTGGGGAGCAGCTACAAACTTGTAGCTTATCAGAGCAATATTTTGAACTTAAAAGAAATTTTTAAACCCAAAAACAATGGCCAGCTACTTAAGCTACAAAGATCTTGTTGTCTTTATTCACAGATTAACCATTTTTTTGGGTGGCATCTCAAATGATTTCATATTTTGCAAATGGCCTACATAAAGAGAAGATATTCAGATATTTTGTGGTTTCAAATATTATATTTATGTAAACTACAACGTTATGCAATTATACCTCTATTTACTATCCAGATAAATTTTTGTTCCAACTTTGTACAAAAGATTTCAGAGATTATTTACAAACTCATTCAAAGTTTATGTATTAATAATAGGTGTGTAAAAATATATTTATTTGAAAATATTTCTCTAAATTCTACCTCAAATTTTACAAGTGATTATTTATTGATTTTGGCTATATCCTAATCTGATGAGGCTAAATAAATCCAGTATATTTTAAAGCAGTTACTTACTCTGAATTAGGAGCAGGATGGCTCCTTATTTTATTTGCCTAATATTACATGTCTCCAGAGAATTCTTCAGCTTCTAGAGCTTTATGACACCTAAAATGGTAACATATACCAGTTTTCTCTGTATTAGGATCCTCTATTCAAAATATGAAATCCAAGTCAATACCATGAAATTAAGTAGGATTACATTGAAGAAAACCAAATTAACTCTATATTTTAGAGATTTTTATAAGTATACCAGAAGGCAAATATTTTGGTCAATTGTGTATTCTGGTTATTGGAGAACTAATTCCTAAATCCTACAGTCATTTTATTTATTTCTACTTGATGTGTATACATATATGAATATATTTTGGTACATAAAATATTTCTTAGTGTATGTAGTATATATAGTATATTTTACCTTTTATTTATATTTATTATTATAGTTTCCTGCTTCAAATCTTAGCCTTACTATTTTGAAGAAAATTAAACTTTTACTCCTATAACTCTGGATCTACGAAGGCTCAGAGTACATCATTTTCAATATCAGCAGTCACTCACAGTATTGTAGGTGTTGAATGTAAGTTAATGAACACTCCATAATGTAGTGTGGTTTCTAGAACAAAATATTATACCTAGGATTCTCCTCTTGGATCTGGACGTTCTTTCACTGGGTTTGCCAAATCCTTAATCACGCACTACATGTTTTTCATGGGCCAGACACTTTTCTAAGTTATTGATATTTATAAACCTAATATAGTCCTCATAACCAACCTACAAGTTAAAAATAAATAATATCTCCTTTCAAAAGATGAAGACAGGGAGCTGCCAAAAGATTAAGGAAGGTCCCGAAGTCACACACTAGGGCGAGACAAAGGAGACAAGGTTTTACTATTTAACCATTTTATGACTACTTTACCTAAAAGCTGCACCTGCTTCTTTGATTTATATTATATATCTTATTGAAATCAGGCCACACTTTCCTTTACTTATCTTTTTAACATTTACTAAGAGAAGCTGATAAAGAAAAATGTTAACATTTCTGGACCGGTCTGATGATAGTACTTTAAATTATTTTTCCTAACTCTCTTCAAGACTCGTTGTTTGCCAGGTGAGTCTATGAAAACAAATGAATCAGTCATTTCAGAGAACAATATATCTACCAATTAACTGGGTAACCAATTAACCAATTACCTATAAACATAAGCTTTATTTTAATATTAAACATTTAAATTTTGTATAAATATTGTTACAAGATATATTCTTTGTTACATATACTGTGACTAAAGACCACAGACTGGGTGGTTTAAACAAAAGAAGTATTTTTCTCACAGGCTGTATACCATCCTGGATAACACAGTGAAACCCCGTCTCTACTAAAAATACAAAAAATTAGCCGGGCGTGGTGGCGGGCGCCTGTAGTCCCAGCTACTCGGGAGGCTGAGGCAGGAGAATGGTGTGAACCCAGGAAGCGGAGCTTGCAGTGAGCCGAGATCGTGCCACAGCACTCCAGCCTGGGCGACGCAGAGAGACTCCGTCTCAAAAAAAATAAAAAAATAAAAAAAATTAAAAAAATAAAAATAAAAATATAATACTAGTTGGGTACAATTAGGAATCATGGGAACTCTGGTAAGCTGGAGAGTGCATTAAAGGTCAGAAGAAACTCCACTTTAATTTTTAATAAGCACTGTGGCTCAAATGTATTCATCCATTTTTGTCTTCTAAGCTAGCATAATATCTGGCAGGCGTCACCCAGTCAATGTTTACTACACCAATGAAAGAGGAATATTGTATTTTAATATTTCCAATAAAAAGAATAAAATGAAATGGGTAAACGTTTAAACATATATTATGGGCTGAATCATATACCCCCAAAATTCATACTTTGAAGTTCTAACCCTCAGGATCTCAGGATGGGAGTATATTTGGAGAGAAGATCTGTAAAGAGGTAATTAAATGAAAATGAAGTTATTATTGTGAGCTCTAATTCGATACTACGGAGGCCTTATAAGAAGAGGAAATTTGGACACAGACATATATTGAGGGAAGACAATGTGAAGAGACACGAGAAGACAGCCATTTATAAGCCAGAAAGAGAGGCTTGAAACAGATACTTCTCAACTGTGGTATCTCAAAGGTTTCCATATTTTGTAAATGGCCTACATAAAGAGAAGATATTCACAGAATATATTATTTTGGGGTTTCAAATGTTATATTTATAAAAACTACAACTTTATGCAATTACACCTGTATTTCAAGGTTATCAGAGGAAGCAATCGTGTCAACATGTTGATTTCACACTTCCAGCCTGTGAGAAAAATACTTCTTTTGTTTAAACCACCCAGTCTGTGGTCTTTAGTCACAGTATATGTAACAAAGAATATATCTTGTAACAATATTTATACAAAATTTAAATGTTTAATATTAAAATAAAGCCTATGTTTATAGGTAATTGGTTAATTGGTTACCCAGTTAATTGGTAGATATATTGTTCTCTGAAATGACTGATTCATTTGTTTTCATAGACTCACCTGGCAAACAACGAGTTTGAAGAGAGTTAGGAAAAATAAGAGAGTTAGTTTGTTTGAAGAGAGTTAGGAAAAATAATTTAAAGTACTATCATCAGACCGGTCCAGAAATGTTAATATTTTTCTTTATCAGCTTCTCTTAGTAAGTGTTAAAAAAATAAGTAAAGGAAAGTGTGGCCTGATTTCAATAAGATATATAATATAAATCAAAGAAGCAGGTGCAGCTTTTAGGTAAAGTAGTCATAAAATGGTTAAATAGTAAAACCTTGAGCTGCTACAGATAGAGGATGTTTAATACTGTTGCACAGGAAGTGTCTTAGGTTTAAATTTCTGAACGAGGTACCTGTTTTCAGCTCAGATCTCATGTTGAAATTATACTTCCAAATGAGCTGAACTGGGTTTAAAATTTGTTTTCCAGTATTAAATCTCAATGCAAAATGGCAGGGCTACTGAACAAAGGAAGACGTACTAATAATAAATTGCAGATCATAATGGACACAATTAATGCCTCCTTAGTAACCAGTTGTTTAAAATAGAGTACTTACAGTAATTTAGTTTTAAAAAATAGATAATGTGAAAAAATATTGCAAATGAAAGCAAGGGTTCTGTTTTGGAATAAAAAGAATTTGTCAGGGGAGCAATACAGAACTCAAAGTAACGTTCAGGAAACGAGGAATTCTCAAGAAGAGAAAAGTGGCTTAGACTAGAGCTAGGTCTCTTAGTGTAGTTTTCTTGTTTTTTGTTTTGAGACGAAGTCTTGCTCTGTCACCAGGCTGCAGTACAGTGGCGCAATCTGGGCTCACTGCAACCTCCGCCTCCTGGGTTCAAGCAATTCTCCTGCCTCAGCCTCCCAAGTAGATGGGATGACAGGTGCGCGCCACCGTGCCCAGCTAATTTTTGTATTTTTAGTAGAGATGGGGTTTCACCCTATTGTCCAGGATGGTCTCAATCTCTTGACCTCGTGATCCCCCTGCCTTGGCCTCCCAAAGTGCTGGGATTACAGACGTGAGCCACCGTGCCCAGTCTCTTAGTATAGTTTTCAACATTATATTAGGATTGAAGAATTGGACATTAATACTAATGAAATGAAGGTTTGGACTTTAATACTAGAATCCCACTTAATGTCAATTATAGTTTAAGGTATACATCTCATTTCATAAGGTAAGGACAATCCTTCCCATTTAGTCCTCTTCATACTCCTGAGAAAGACTAAAATTTATTCCTTTCAGAAATGTTTTCTAAACTTTCTACATAAACTGGAATCCATTTAACTCCAGGTATTACACTCCAGGCACAGGCATCTAGTCTAGATAGCACATGAGAGAAGCACTTACTATAGTCTTATATTTAACTCACTCAAAAGTATTTCTTGAGGGCCTAGTATGAACCATACACTTTTCAAAACTGGGGATAGAGGCTGTTAGATAAACAAATAGCAGTCTCAAGTTTCATGGAACCTACTTTTAAGGAGGAAAAAGAGAACAGATAGTGAAGAATGAAGGAGGGTAGAGGGACACAGTGGTCAAGGATCACAGCTCTGATAAATTGTCATGGGAAGAGGTGTGAATGATGTGAAGAAGAAAATCATTTATTAAGATGGGAAAGATTAACTGAAGAAGGAGCAGGTTTGGTGAAAGAATATAGAAGTATCTTGGATATATTAGTTAGAAGTGAAGTTTGTAATAGCACCTGTTATGAGTCTGGAATTTAGGAGCATGATGAAGTCAAGGATATAATATAAGGACGGTCAATATGTAGATGGTGATATTGGCTAGGAAAAGATTGTACAGAGAATAGAAGGAGTTTGAAGAATGAGTTCTAGAATTTTTCATTTATTAGAAATCAAGAATTTTTGGGAGAATCTAGGAAAGAGCTTAAGAAAAAGTGCCCAGTAAAGCAAGAGAACTATGAAAATAGTATGCTGACACCAAATGAAGAAGTTTCTGAATAAAAGTCGATGATGAAAAGAAGAAAAGTCAGTAAGCACTCCCAAATACTTCTGCAAGATGAGCAAGGTGACGGTTGACGACTGAGCCACAGCGTTTGGCAACATGGGTGTCATTCACGTGCCTATGATAGAACGAGATCGTAGCTGGCTTATTTTTATCTGGATGTGTTTCATCTATTTGTTTCTTCAATAACATTTTATTGAGGAAGTATTATGTGTGGGTATTAAAGGGGGAATTACAAACAAGAATGTATCCATTTATTGTCATCATGAAAATCATTAAATCACAAAATAAATAAAAACAAAATTCTGCCTACTAGTTTTCTTTTATATTATTGGAATAAAGTAACTTGTTATATATTGCCCATTAAAATCCTGAATTTTTTTCAGATTACTTGTTTCTGTTTAGGAGATACCAGTTATACACTTTAAAATATATGTAGAATTGTCAAAGAAAGCAGGTTTGTGGTGCTAAGAGATTTTTAGTGTTAATTAATATATAATATACATTTATTTCACTGAAGTCAAGAGAGTTGTTATATTACATTTCTCAAGCCCAGCGCAGCCTCTGAAGTGTTCCTACAAAGCTATGTCATGGCCAATTATCTCAGATAAGTGTTTATGGTGACAAGGCTACTGTTTAATTTAAACTTTTCATACACATGCTTGTATACATACACACACTCTCGCACATCATGTAAATCAACAAATATTTTCTACAGTATTTACCAGTTAAATTTAAGAACATATAGTCTTTTAAAACAGAGGGACATTTTTAGAATCACACTGATATTCATCAGCTCAAATTCATTTTTTAATTTAAATTAACATATTTTTTATATTTGCAACAGTGCAAGTCACTTTACTAGCATTTGTCTTATTCAATAAGTATATTGTAAATATATGTCAATTATTTATTAATACACATTAAATAAGATAAATTAATTACATAATACATGTATAGCTTTATACACTTATGAATAATATATAAATAAATATGTATTAAATGCATAGATATATACATTTATTTATAATGTATATTATTTATTAATATTTATTAATTTATTAATGAATACTAATAAATCGGTAATGTATAGACTCATATATTAAATACATTCATAAATAAATATTAATTACTTATTAATATACATTAAGCATATTATAAATATGTTTGCTTTTCAAAAACACAAATTTGATGTAATAAGAAAGGGCTTTTATACAGTAATTCAACAAAGGTAGGATATGAACATAAAAATATTCGTGAGGATAAAAATTAAAGTCTGTAGTACTCTGAAAGAGTAAATTCTACATATAAAGTGAGAATCTAAACTGTATACTACTATTAAGTTCAATACACTTTTATAATTAAAATAAATCTGAAATAAAAATTTATTTTATTAGAAGACGAAACATAAAAGCAGTCATCATTTTGCATGGCATAACTCAGCAATATAAAATGGGCACACAGTAAATTAAAGATTAAAAACATATTCCAGGCAACACAAAATTCAACAAATTCAATCAACAGGTGCATAACGTATCATTTCCTTGGTTTAAAAGTCTTTGAAATGCTATATTTCTACATAATGGAATTTCCTATAGAATTCCCAATTCACAACATGTTTTTCTATTGTCATTTACCTAAACACTGAATGTACTGTGGCATCAGTACTAGTAGCCCGAAAAAAACTGTAAAAAGCACCAGCTGGCTGTATTCAACATGGCACTTGTCCAGGTCTCAAATGTCTTATTTATATACAATGGAATTCTGCCAGCTGTTTAATATTTAGGGCTAATAAATGTAATTGGCAGTACTATACAAGCACAACTAATAAACATCAGAAAATACTTCTCAATGTGAAGTTTGAGTTGTTCTCATTTCACAGAGTGAAATTCGTGACAGTGGAAAGTAAATTGAAGCCGTTTTGACTTTGAAATAATTTTTAAGAATTAAAGAAAAAAAGGTTAACAAAGCTATAGGTGAGTTGTAAACTTACTATCTTATTTATATTTTTTTTAAACCAAGGACATGTATTGATAGTTACAGATTGTATCATTATAAAAATGAACAGAGGTATTTAAACAGGTCCCTGGACCTCAAAGACAAGGTAAAGGGTGTTAGGTGTAGAGGAAGTTACAATATAGTATCAAGATGGATTAATATATCATGATAATGCAGTGAAATTTTACCAAAAGAAGTCTATATGAAAAATAAGGTGGACTCACTAACTGCCAATTATGAATGTAAGACTATAATTTAGGTTTCATCTCTAGAAACAAACAGTAGACATGTACCACTTGATGAAAGAAAGAATGAATAGGAGAGACAGAGAAAGAAGAAAAAAAGAGAAAGAAGGAGAGGAGAGAGAGAGAAAGAAAAAAGAGAAAGTAAAAAGAAGGAAGAAAGAAAAAAAATGAACCTTCTTGCAAACAAAATAAGCATTATTTGTAATATGCATTAAATTTGAGTAATAGACAATGAGGGGCTATTCCTCTCAAAATATCACTTTTCAAAAGACAACATTCCACTACTGAACCATTTATCCCTCTAAATCCTGTTGCTTGTCCCTAAAAATGACCACACCCCTGGGTATAATAGAATGTTAAACCTAAATCATCATTTGTGTAAATGCGAATATGTGAACCAAGAAGGCTCTGAGAGTAGACAAAGTAGAAAGGGAGAGCTGTGTGGAAATTGTGAGGATGCAAGTGAAATGAAAAGTGAGAGGGTAGAACTGAAGGAACAAAACACATTCCTCCAATCCCACCTACTTCACATTTTTGCCAAGTTTAAGCCCTAGAGAAGATACAAAAGACAGTCCTCTAGCCAGCAGTGAAAAACGTAGAGGAGGACCAGGGAATTGAACAAGTAAGAAAATTGGATTTTAATTCTTGTTTTCACAATATCTGTTGATATCTGTTAAATTACTTAGCTTTCCTGAGATCTATTCTCTCAACTACTAAATATATTAATATATCAAATATAATTTCCTTTCTACATAAGTAGCCAATAAAATGCTTAATTCAGCCCCAACAGGTGCTGGAGTACCCACCAGAGAGTTCAACATGTATGTAGGGGACAGCAAAGTCACCAAACTTTTTTTTTCTAATTTCTAAAATCTAAAACGGTGTTTGATATTTTAAAAGAAAATAAATAAATGTTTGACAAGGAGAAAAGCTAGAACTTTGCTGGACGTTGTTACAATTATATTACTGATGCTGCTTTGACTTTGAATTATACAGGAAACAACATAATGTTTCTAGGTTTAGGTTCTTTACCATACTTTGATTACAGGTGCCCAGTCATATACTACCTTCACAGCCCACACATGCAGATAAAGCACGAGCTCACAGCAGAAAAATAATCCAGAGACAGCAGGGGGAGAAAAGCACCCAATAAGAAGTTGGCTTTTTAATTTTAGACAAATGCAAATTAAAAACATGCTTTCCAAACCAGACATGCCAATCTCCCTGTTGGTAATGGACACAAGATTTGGGAGCACTTAGACTATTTAGTCCTGGGAGCAGTAGTTTCCAGCTTCACATTCTAATATCACTGCTGCTATCCCTTTTCCTAAGTCCCCTATCTTTCCGCCTGACTCCCCATCATTATCTTGCTGGAAAACATTCCCTCTTATTAGATGTGGGGAAGAAAATGCTGAAACGAATCCATTTCAAGAGTTTTGCTTCCTTTTGTTTTAACAATCACAAGGGAAACCAAGAATTCTGGCTTGGAAAAGCACAGTATCTTTCATTGATTTTTAAAGAGCTTTTCAGTGTGTGTTTACATTTTGGATTTTGCTCCTGAAAAACATAAGAGTTTGGTTGTTCCAGTGTTTGCTTATTTTAAAAGTAATTCGTTGACTGCTACTTTGTAATTTCTGCATATGATTATAGAAAGTAGAATCACTTATGGCATATCTAAACTAAATTCAAAACAACCGGAATGTAATTAGATTAATGCCAATGTAAACAACCAGCCCAATGAATGGAGGCCTTTCAAACACAAATAGAGCACAATGGTTTTCATGCCAAGAAATCCCTGTAACTTGGAACCTACTAAGGATACCATTACTCTACAGGGGCCTCCATTTTGATGAAGCCACTCAAGTCAACCAGCCATTCAACTACTTCTACACACATATCCTTGTGTTTTCTTCATGAAGCCAAGGGAAAATATTTTCCCTTAGGGGAACTGGTTTCTTTCAATTTCTATCTAAGAATAAGTTGAGGAGGAAAATCACCATCATTTTCCAGTGATCTCTATAACTATTTGGTCCCTGAAACATTTGAAGAATACCAACATCTTGAAAATTCCAAACACTGCTCCGAATCATGTGAATATATTTAAAGGAAAAGGTCAAACCTTAAAAAAAACACAAAATACTGTTCATAAAAATTATATCTTAAAAATTTTTATAGTCATAGAATAGGATATAGTAATATGATTTAAATGATCATTTACATAATCATTTCAATGTCTCTATGTAACCAGCAAATCTCACAGACTTTTACAATTACAAGTAGTTTCAACCCTAGAGTTTTGCAAATGAATTTCAGATAAGACAGCAGTATATAATCTGTAGCTAATTCCCAGTTCCCAAAAAGTGACAGCTACTTCTTGAGCCATTAAACAAAGTATAAGAGTTATAAAATTCTAGATTTCTGCTCATAAAGCAAAAGGAACATAAAGTCTTTAAAAAATCATCATGTTAATAGAAAAGGCTTAGAATGCATCTGTTTTCATTAAAAAATAGTTTCTTTATTAAATCACCTTAATATAAAGTTGGAGGCCATGTGTGTGTGTGTAGGGAGTACTTCAGAACTTTAGGCAATAATTATTAAGACCCTAAGTGATAGAGAGGAAGGTGAGGCAAAAGGTGATTTATAAAGGTCCTGTGGGTTACCATACCTTCTAATCAGGATAATATTGACATATCTTTGGGTATTTGGTAGGATGATGTAGCAAGAGAAGATCTAATTGCAGCCATGAGAAAAGACCAAATCTTACAGATCTCACCCAAAGCACCATCCAGGACTATGCATAATAGAATAAACCTCTTAGGAGCTCAATGAAGCATGTGAGACAGTGGGAAGAGATTAGGAAGTCATCCATCCTTGTGCAGTCCATTTTAAAATTCATATTTAATTTCAATTGTGTGTACAATATATAGAAAGGTACATGTAGAAATTTAATAACTAAATCTGTAGCTATCTATGAATATACATGTAGTAGGAACTCAATAATTATTTTAACTATCAGAGTACATCATCAAAAGTTTTGGATGTTTTTAAATTATACTGGAACTCTGACTTCAAGGATTACCTCTCCGAGTCCTCAAATTAAAATCACATTTGTAATCAGTTTTCCTTTCATCTTAAAAAATGTCTGACATTCTGACAAGTTTCAATGTCTGCTTTGTGTAATTCAGTGGAAATAATAAGCTATTTATTGTAGATAATTTTCATTCAAAATATTTTAGTAACAATGTAATATATACCATGTGATTCTGAAAACCAGTAATGAATAGATTTTTATATTACTTAGAGGGAGTTTTGATTTTTTTTAATGTTCTCTTTCAAAGGAGTGTGAGAGACATCATAGTTCCCTGACATTGGTACAGATGTAGAAAGATATGCTAAGTTTTTGTTGATTATACCTCAACTTTTACATACATAGACTATTTCCAGGTAAAGCAAAAGAAGTACACACATGCCTATGCACGCACCACACAAATTACCAATAATTAGAAAAACCTATTTCATTTAAGCTATACTTTCTCTGCTCAAAATTTATGTATGGATTGACCTTTTTTTCAATATTTTCCTTTTCATGACATAATGTAAGGCATACCTTTTGTAAATTCTCCACTAAAGTGAATAGAAATCTATGTGTACTATACGGAAAATCAATTGAGAATCTATTCAGACTATAAAATTTCCTACACCAAGCTATCAATGCATTCCTACCTCTTATTTTTAAAGGACACTCTGATGTATTTAAACTTCAGTGACTAGGCTACTCTCCACAATGAATAGCCATATTTTCTGTACTGTACAGACTATACCATTAGCAATTATACATTCCCGGACTGATCTTTTACAGATGTCAAGGAAATCTGATGAAAGGACACACTCAGCATGGAGGCATGGTTGGGGCTATAAAGTGGCACCACTGGGTACAGCTGTCCTTGTTATAGGAAATAAAGAGTGGTATAAAACCAGTATTTATTTTTCAATGAAAGGAGAAAAAACCAATTAAAGTCATAAAGAAGAGAAGAGAAGGATAAAGGGGAAAAATAAAGGAAAATTTATGATAGTATGGTCATCAAATAAGAGGAAAACCATAGTAAAAAAAAAAAGCTAACAGATAAGTAAGGATGAAAATGATTATCACTGGTCAAATGCTATCTAAAGTGCTCACTGTTGCCTAAGACGTTTACATGAAATATTTCATCAACCTTCCCAGCGACCCTTAAAAAAGGTACTAGCATTTTGCCAAGGAATAATGATTCAAATAATTGAAAACCATTTCTTACTTTGAAGACTTTCACTCAATTAGCATGCCTGACAGGCCAGCTTTCTGAGCATGCAATCTGTATCGTCTCCTAGGGCTCTCTGCTTAGATTTAACGATCTGCTGCCACAATCTTAAAGTTGTTAGTTTTTGAACAAGGTATTTCAAAAATACCCTATACCCCCAGATTATGGAGCTGGTCTTGATATCTCATAATTCTGAAGGACAAGATTTATGACATACTTACTGATTGCATATGGCACTAATAATCCAAAAGCTCAAATTTAAAACACCGCAGTATTAAGTATATCTCTCTCCACTACCATCTCCATTACATTGTCTTTTATTTATTTTTCTGTTTATTTGGCTGCATCACCTTCTGAGGTTGTCATTGACTACCTATTAAACAGGTCCATTTGAATGTCTGCCTGGCTTCTCAAATATTTTAATCAGTGTACAAAACTGAGCTATGTGACAAAATATATAACTGATATATTTTGCTGTAAGAAAAAAAATCAGTAGAAGTTAGAAGAATTAAACTCTATGGTAGTATTCATTTATTTAATATATCTGTCATATTTGCTCAACTGGAAATTAACTCAGAAATTCTTCTGTGGTCTTCAACATGCCTATTACAATTTTGAAAACAAGGCAGAAAACCAATGAACACCAATAAATTCACTGAAATGCTCAAAAAGTAAACTTCAATATAAAAGAAACAGGTAGAATACAAAAGTCATTTAAATAAAACTAGGAGATTACTTAAGTCTGTCAAACTCAAATTACATAATTACAATATGAGTGTTTTTGTTTACATAAAAAGAAACATTTTCAAAACTATGAAAATAAATTTTCATACTATGTGTTGGAGTATGGAAAATATCCCATTTAAAGGGGTTTATCAGTCACTTGGTTTATCAACATCTTGTCCAAAAGGCTGTGACAAAATCTCTTTTTTTCCAACTCTCTGGAAATTATTTTAGCTCCTCCTATACAAGCAAGTCTTAGCAAATTACACAAACTAAACTTGCCAGAGTAGTCCCATATGCACTTCACTTACAAAAAAAGTTTTTATTTTATGTGAAGTACAGGTTTGCCACCTCAGAGTTTCATGGAAACAAGTCTATTTTTTTCCTTAAAAAATAACGACAGAGAAAAATAAATGACAAAGCTGGAGTCAAGGAATTTTGGAAACAGTCCAATTGTTTTATCAGCTGCACCACAAGGCAAGCAAACCTTAACCTTCTATGGCCTTATAACGCTACTAAACTGCTGCCCTTATACTTTGCATTTTGCATATATAAGGAAATGCTCCTCAGTTTAATATGTTGATTACTGTAAAGTAAGCACAATGTCAAAACAATATTTGACCCAATGCATCATAATGCTGTGGCTTTCTAACCAGTGTTCCTGTCACATGCCAGTCAGTAAATATACACACCATAAATTTAAGAGAATGGTTTCATCTTTCTTTTTAGGGAACTGAATACACACAGACTTGAAAATCAAGAGAAACTAACTTCTGACTCTGTTTATGGTATAGTGGGTAACTTACTTTAAAAAAAAAATCAGATTTGGAATTGCATAAAGGACAATGCCTAAATATTTCCACATTCAAGCCTGGTCTATTTAAGATATCTTAGATGTATAGCAGGTAAGAAAGCTTTCATGAAAAAAAAATTAATGTTGAGCTGTTTTGACATCATTTAATTGGCACACTATGCATTTGTAGATTTTTAGGGAAGAAATTTATGCTGTTGTAGAAAAACACGGAAACAAATAGAACAGGTTTTCTAAACACCCTCAACTACAGATTACAGCATTTTGTTTTAACCTTTTATAACAGAAATTGATATGAATATACGAACTGCACTTGAGTTGTATTTCTGCATATTTAAACATTTAAATTACTTAGCCTCTAAGTCTCAGGGTATTGAAAAAAAAAAACCCTGCTCTCAGTGAGACACTGATTTCATGCTGTGACAAGCTCAAAAATGAAAACAACTATACACATGAGAGGGTTTTTCACCAAACCGCAGCACTAAGCACAAATGAAACCCTGCTGGGAACATGTATCTACAAGTGTGAGTATGTTTGACTTGGTAACATGCATTTGTGACTTTATGTGTTAATAGGAAAAAGCGAAAAAGGAGCTAGACAAGGATTTCATTGTCCACATTTTTTGAAGATCTTTTTTTTTTTTTTTACAGACTTTAAAAATATTGGCAACATTTGAACATAACACTTAGCATTGGGCTCAAAGGCTGTCTTCACTACAGTTAACCACACAGTTCCCTGCTCTGCCCCAACAGTGACCTCAATCTAAGCGAAAAAGATGAGAGAAGATTCAGACTTTATGCTTGTATTCCCCTTGGACTGGTCTGGACCAAAGATCATAAAGAGACTCACTATGAATCATGATTTATTTCTTATTAGATGATGGAGTAAGTATCCTATTATATGAAAAATAAAGGCAAATGGTGGTAACTAATTATAAAAGTTCCCCTCCTTTTTAAAGAAATTAGACTGGTTTAAAACCCCTTCTCTGATAACTATCTATACTCCATTCCCATGTGATTTTTGAGGGAGGAATAAGAGATATCAGAGATCAGTATAACAGTAGGAAAAACATTAGAAAAAGACATATTAATTAGTCTTCCAAATAAATTCCATCTCAAATATAATTTCACAATACTTGAATCATTGGCAAACATAAAAATGCACATGAAACAATTCAACATTGCAAGAAACACAAATAACACTACTCAAATGGTTCATTAGGTATAAAGAAATTATTTTATTCAAGTAAAAAAAGAAAAATGAAAATTTTTATAAAATATAAGCGATATAGTTTGTACCATTTTGCTTTTAGAAAAACATCCCACATTAATAATATAATATACATCTAGTTTTTATACCACAAACATTTATTGACTTTGACTACCTTATTATGATTTAATACACAATGGATAAAAGCAATAAAATTATGACTTTAAACACATAGAAAAGGTTATTCTCAAGATTCAGATGCTAGTTATAAGCAGTAACTGATATAAAACACTTTTCTTTTACCCATAAAAATAAAATATAAATTTCTTCTGTGGCTCAACAAATAGAAGTTATGGACTCAAAATGCTTTAAAAATAGAGGATTCTATATAACAGTATTGAAAATATTATTATTTTAGTTAATACATTATATTATTCAGAATTAATAATAAAACAGAAAAGGTTTTATAATATAATTTTCAGTGCATCTAAAACATCTAAACAATATCTGCTCCAATCCACAAACTTCATAGATAGTGTACTATCTACAGTAATAAATAATGGATTCACAGGAGCTATTATTCCCCAAGGACTAAAAATTCAGAACAAGAATTTCTTTCAAAACAGTTGGTACATCTTTGCTATGACATATAACTCCACAGCCAGACTCCTATTTCTAATTCCTTCCTCAACAATAATGTATGTGTAATTATACGTATGCTAACAGCATTTCTTTATACCTTAGTTCCATCTTTGCACAAATGGAATAAAGGAATATCAACATGGAAATCAAAATTATATTTAGAAGATGTAATAACATAAAAATGACTTGAAATTATTTACTATCTATCTATCTATTGGCTACATATGTCTCTTGATTATAAGCCCTTAAAATGTCATTTATTCCTAGTAAATATTTGTTTTAGAATCATCATGCCAGGGGAACTGCACCTTGAAAAAGTTCAGTAGAATAATTGTAATCAACACTTTAAGACTATCCACAAAGAAGATAAAAATTTCAGTGGTAGAACCCAAAATAAAAATGTAAATGTACAAATAGATATGAATTTAGTTCACCCCTTGGGATTTTCCTCTAATACTTTGGTTCCTTTGGAGGATATTATGTTCATTATCATTAGACATTATATTTTTGCTTTGTGACTCAGTCTTCTTTGGAAAATTCTGAGTGTAGTAAATCAATCAATCAATATTTAATTGAACAGCACAGTATTTAAATAGGAGAGAATAAAACGAGTGAGGGAAAGAGAGGTAGAAGAAGAGGAAATAAAGCAAGCATCAAAAACAGTGAATGCAAATATAAAACACATCAAATGTTGTCAGGACTACAGTTGAAATTACCCACAGGAGATGTACAGAGTGATTTGATAAAACAGTGCATTTAATTAGCAACCACTAATTTGAACTAACACCTTGAAGATTTGCTATCCTTCACATTTTCTGGCAATTTGAGTGGCTTTTCAAAACCCTTTCTAACAAACTAAACCTTAAGGCTAATTGATAATTTCAAAAATTTTTAAAAAATGAAACCTAAAAGAGAAAGGAAGTAACCCTTCACATCTGCCGTGTGCTGTCAGCCTATGTCAGTCTTTGAAGTTGTTTACTGAAATCTTACCAATGGGAGAGGGAACATCAAATCAGAAGAGAGAAGGCAGATGTATGAGAGAGAAATCTTTTTTCACAGTTACAGTCCCAAATGTGGACAGGTAATCCAAGGCCTCAGACTTGTGGTCGCTCTGGATGTCCCCCAGAGATTTTAACACTCAGTTGTCAGTGCACACCAAGGCATGCACAACACCCAGACAAGTGTCCTTTTGCAGATCAGATGTAAAGAATTGCTGGCAGGTAGCTAACCAGCATTCTGTCCATGCTTAGAGGTAAAAGTTTTTGTTAAGATGTGGAATCAGATATAAGAAGAAAAACTACTCTTATAATATTTAGGAAATTTCAGATGATTATGAGAAGTGATAAAACTCACACACACATACACACGTGCACACACACACACACACGCAGAGTGAACCCTTTATGCTATGCTACATATAAGTAAGCGTTTGGTTTTGCAAATTAGTCAATGTCTAAGAAAACCGTGTGTGTGTGTGTGTGAGATATGTGTCCTGTATGTGGCTGTGTTTTTGTATTTGGTATTTGTTGTTACAAGAGAATCTGAAATATTAAGAAAAATATCTGCATGTATTTATTTTAATCTCCATATAAAATTAAAATAAAATATTTGAAAGCCATTTTGAAAATTTTATTTTCTTCAATTCATTTTCCTATGGTATATTACAGATAAATTCCAAGTGGTTTGCACAACAAATGCCAACAGAGACAAGGATTTTATGATGTATGTATTAATAAACTTATAGTTAAATACATTTGTAACACTATGATTCTAAATAAGATTTAAGACTGTTAATATGTGTAAGATGCTTTACAAAATATGGTTGCACACAGCAACTCTGTGAGACATGTATTATTACTCTCATTCTGCAAGAGAAATTCCTGAGAATTAGAAAGGTTAAGTAACTGGTGTAAGAATAAACAGTAGGTGAAAAAACATATATTTTTTTTTTTTTTTTTTTTTTTTAGAGATGGAATCTTGCTCTGTCACCCAGGGTGGAGTAGAGTGGCGCAACCTTGGCTCACCGCAACCTCTGCCTCCTGGGTGGGTTCAAGAGATTCTCCTATTCTCCTGCCTCAGCTTCCCAAGTAGCTGGGGCTACAGGCATGCACCACCGCACCCAGCTAATTTTTGCACGTTTTAGTAAAGACGGGGTTTCACTATATGTTGGCCAGGCTGGTCTCGATCTCCTGACCGCAGGTGATCCTCCTGCCTCCGCCTCCTGAAGTGCTGTGATTACAGTTGTGAGCCACCATGTCCAGCCACAAAAAGATATTTCTAAGTCAAGTTTTTGAACTTCAACACCTATAATCTTTCTACAGTGGCATATACTAATATCTCCAAATTGGAATATATTGAGATGTGTATCACAAAATGAGAAATGAAATGGGAAAATGCTAAAAGAAACTTCAGATTCTATATTAAAGTATTACAAAATATCTCACAAAAATATCTGAAACTTAAACAAAAAATAAAAGCAAAGTTGCACAAGATAGCATCACTTGGGGGTCAGTGGTGGCCAAAACGAAAACAACTGTAAAAAAACAACAATAACAACAGAATAACTCTAATCAGAAGGAGGAATTCAGTCCTGGAGAATAGGATGTTTTTGCCCTTCTCTCTCCTCTTCCTCCTTCCTTTTTCAATGCTAAGGGTACCAGAATATAAGAGAACCAGAATAGAATCGCAGGCATGGTTCAGAAACCAAAAGGAAAATTTTAGATGACAACCCGTCCTTTTAGGAAGTATTTTAATTAACTTGTATAAATCAAAATTTAAAGTGGAATAATGTTAGTTACTAATATTTAATAATATTAGTTTTTGAACTTCAACGCCTATAATCTTTTAAATGTCATAAAGCCAATAAGGCTGAAACATAATTTTACTAATTTGGTCAAAATTTTTTTGAAGTTAATAACTCAACAAGGTTCAAAATAAACTTCCACATACTAAAATATATATGTTTATCAATTCCTGTGTCTTAATATTTAAAGAATGTGCTTTAATAAATGACCAGTGACTTTACACTACACTTGTAAGCCACAAATTTAAATGAATAGTTGAAAGTTAACTACAGCTTGTAGTTAGAAAGGATCTTGCAATCTGGGTATGGTTGGTATAAAATATGTTATAAAATATTGACACTTTTCCAACTTAAAGTGGTTTCAAATTTTCCCGGAGCAAATTATACTTACAAACACCACTCGGTTTTACCACACTGTAAATTATCAAGTGTTGGCACCTGTGACCCAATTTGTTTCAGCTTTATTTTGGATCACATCAAATAAAAAGGGCCTATTTTCAAAGGTAACATTCTACTGCCAAATACAACCAACACATGCTTATTTCCTCAGGTGAAAGTTTCAAGGCCAGATTACAAAAAAAAAAAAAAAATGCTATCACTTTTTTTCTTTACCAAACCTATTGTTACCAGATTTTTGAAGCTTAGTTTAACAGAAAAAGTATTATGCAGAACCACAGAATGTTAATACATGCTTCCAATTAAATGGAGACAACCAAATTAGTTCACACAATGTTTCATGCTTTTTTTTTCCTCTGCACATGCTATTCTTATCAGATTTACCAAATTTGATTTGATTTTTAAAAATGTAGGGTCAAAACATCTTATAATTATTTATATCCTATTAAATTGATTAGTATAAATTCTTTCCAAAGCTCCATCTTTTTTAAAGTATTATCACCTGGCAAATATCATACTCTAATATATATTTCATAATTTAACTTGGTGGTTAATTTTAAAAAGTAACTTCATTAAGATGTGTGGTTCTAAGACTGTTGGCTCTGATTTATAACTATATTATTAAGGATATAATAATTCTGATTTACATTCAAGACAGGGATTCTTAAAAAAATGATGAACTTGCTAGAATATAGGGTAAATATACTCTCTGCAATCAATCTTTTTGTAATTTTACTTCCTGAAGTGATATGTACATTATGTAAATGCACATGCTGCTTAGAAATGGATTAAAAAAGAGACCCAATCTACTAACAGATAATAAGCTCATTGTATGTAGCTGCAGATAATCTCATTTCCCTGATAAAAACAATAATGAAATACTCATAATGACCACACTTACATTTTTGCCTTGATCAGGTATATTCAGATTACTCGTGGATGATAAAGAAGACTTAAGCACTCCTAGAGACAGATATTATAATCTTATTACTATGCAAATACATGAGACTATCTAAGTATGAGAACACCTAGTATCACGGAAACCTAAGACCTCTTGATATTTAATGTGCAGCTTTCACCAACAGAAAACAGATCATTTCTGAGTCCCTAAGATTCACAATTAAATTAAAATCAATTGAAATTAAAACTATTATAACTTATCTCCATGAGTCATTTTTCTTACATAGCATTTTTCTTGAGTTTCTTCTCTGTAAAAGCCGAGTAATTTTTCCTTGCTTCTACCACCAATATCAACTATTTTCCCAAAATATATGTCCCAAAAGACACACGTGTGATTTGGGAATAAAATGCATGTTTGCTACCAGACTGTGGTTGTTCACTATGTTTTTTTAATTTACTTTATTTTTTATAGAACATGTTTTAGAGACAATAGCCAATGTTGAAGGGATCATTTTTTTCTTTTTTCTTGAAATGTGACAGTATGTTATTTTTATATGTAACTTAAAACTAAACACATTGTTTTAGTTCTCAAGAATTGCCTCAGATATGCTTATTTTAGAGTCAGCCTGACTCATATTAACCAATTATTGTGAGGAAAAATACAGTGAAGCTGACCAAAAAGTAAGCAGACAATGCTCATCATCAGGTTTTGAATACAGCTTCTCTCTTTCTGGTAATACAGTTTAAAGCAAAATCTACTTTTAGAATTATTGATTTTACATAGCTAATAAAAACATTTAATAATAAGTATACACATTGTACTTGTTTCTATTTTTTTCTTTAGGATATTGAACTAAGTAATATGAAACTTTCCTTAAGTTGGAAAAATAACAGTATCTAAAACGATAAAATGAAACTGAGTTTACTCACCCAATGGATTTGAGAGGTGACTTATCTGCTGTGAGAAGTTAAAAGTACTATACCACTGAAGATTTACTGCCTATGTAAGGGTTGATATATAAAATGCATTTTTGGCCTTGGATTTTAGGAATTCCAAATTAAATTTGGACATTTAATTTATGCGTATAGAATACCTCTGACAAAAAACATTCTATAAGCAAAACAAACAAAGGATACAAATTAGATTCAATAGTCATTAAATTCAATACTTGATGCATCTCTACTTAGAGTTACATGATACAGCACTTGATTATGAAATGTAAAATATCAAGGAGTACACAAAAAACTCATCTTTTTTGGTGGATACATTTATATGTATATCTATCTCTACCTATGTACATATGAAACATATTTACAGATTCTGAATACTGTACTTGTTATAATATTAAAAATATTAACTTTTTTGAATATTGCAATTTCTTCTTCATTAAGACTTTAACTTGTGAAAATTACTCAAAAAGCTGAACCAATTTATAATCCCCACATCAAGTCACTCTGGTCATTAAGATAACCTAAAATACATCAAAATGTTGTTTTATAGTATTTTCCTTTATTTTTATTACAGAGACAGAATAAATCATGACAATTCTATACCTATGACATGCACATAATTACACTGTAATTGATGTCCTGTTATTATTAACAATATGGAATAGATCACCTTTCTGAGTGAAGTATTAATGATCACACATTTTCTTTTCAACATTGTTGTTTCTTACAAAATCAGTGAAGTGATAGGGAATCTTGTTCCTCCTACAGCTATTTTTCCAGTTATTTTGCATATTATTCTAATAGCTTCCAATGGATCCACTTGAATCGAGTGACCAATGGAAAGGTTAAGTTGGAGTAGGAGAAAGCATTGCAACTAATTAATATGTCAGAGGAGTACAGCCCTAGCCAAAAGAGTTAATGAAGCTTGCTAAGGACACATGTGGGTCTTTTGTAACGCAGGCCTGACTGTACAGCCTGGTTAGGTTAAATTGTCTGTCAGTTACTGGCCAGTTGGCCACCACCTGGCTGCCTAGGCTGGTCTTTCCCCCATCCCAAACAGCCCTCTTCCCAGCTCTCAATGGCAAGCTGCTGCCACTAAACATCTAGAAGCCTCTGACAAGGTTTGGGCACACAATGAGCTCCTGACATGTGAATGAAGGGCCAGGGCAACACTCTGAATGGGGAAGATTTACCCCATTTAAACTCACAATGTTCACAACAACACGCATAAAAGAAAAAGCCCATCCTTGCTGTCAGGCCATTAACATTTATAACAATATGCTAATAACCTTCTAGATTACTTTCAGTTTCCAAGGACATTTAAATACATGAATTGATGGCTTCAGACGTAAAGGGGGTGGTGGGGGAGTAGAGAAGAAGGGGCGGTTGGTTACGAAGAAGGAAGAAACAAAAGCGAATGGAAGAAATTGCAATCTATCTCACAGAACACTACTTTTTAAGCCTTCCACCCAAACAGAGGGCTTCTGTCTATAGAAAGATTATGGTCAGGCTTACACAATGACCCGCTAATGTTATCAACGATAGGCACATCTCTGAGTCATGCATTTAAACATGGCAGTTGTGATCATAAGGTGGTTCCTGATTCAAAGGAGTTTTAAGTCAGGCCATGAACCTTTGCTTTTCTGGTTATGTGTTGTCTTTTGTTCAACTGCCTCCTTTGGGATGATATCATATTTTTTTTCCCCGTGATTAGAAAATCACATCACAAGGAAAACATATAACCTTTTAGCAATAAGCTCTGAAGTTGTACCCTAAAGCAATTAAGAAAAGAGTGTGCAATCCTGAATAAGTTATAGATGCTGTTTTCTTTCCCATTATTTTATCATTCACCATTTTCTTAGAATGAAACAAATGTGAGAAGAGTTTGTAAAATTACTTCCCACGACATTCACTCAATATAAGCCTCAAAATCAAGTTATCAATTTGTGTCATAAGAAAAACACCTATTATATCCATTGCTTGCTTCATTGTACACCAAAATTAATTGCTTCCAACTTAAAGACAGTATCACCTTCTTTAGAACCGATTAGTGATATTCAATCAATTTGAGACATTATTGTTCTCATAGAGTTCAGTATGTAGCCATTGCCACAAAGTTGAATCTGCTTGGCTTCAAATGACAAGAGGCATTTGAAAAATAAAATATGCTTATTTTATATTCTCTCACAGAGAACTTACCACAGAGGTAGTTAAGCCTGCTATATAACAGTTCATTTTATTTTAGTGGGTAAAACGCTTCTTTCTTCATATAGTTTTTGAAACAACGTTGATAAATTTGAGACATAAAAATCTTCATGTAATATCAAGGCTAATTTGTACCAATCTGAAAATGCATGCCCATAATGTGATACTAAACAGAAGCCTTTTTAAAGTGTTCAATCTGTTAAAAATTTTGCCTCCCTTATCCAGCTAAGCAAAAGTATCAGATTCAATTCTTAAAAAAAAAAAAAATGGTTTTAAAGAGTTAGCATATGCTCTTCATGCTGTAAACATCTTCTATTTAACGATCCACTAGACCAGAAAACTACTGAACTTAATTCTAGGTAATATTAACAAAAATAACCAAAATGAGCATTCACAAAAATTGCTCTCAAATTGCTCTCAAATAAATTCTTGTTTTTTCTTTTTCTTCACTCAAGGGTCTCAAAATCCCCAAGTGTTTCTCTTCTGCAATGACATATAGAAACGTATCATTTTTATAACTGATACTTAGGGTTAAATATTTATATTTGAGCTTGGGATCCCACTGTCTACACTTTTGCTCTATCTTCACTTCAATAGCAAGAGTAGTCGCAACAGCACCTGTCTCAGAAGAAAAGTGTAGAAGAACTAGTTCGTATGTCATCAACTCCTTGGCTACACTTTATAGCCAAGTTGTGTGCATTCCATAGACCAGTGGAAATCTTCACTCCCAGACCACCGCTATTCCATTTCCATCAGGACAGAGAGCCAGGCTAAGTGTCCTTGAAGGTTTGGGTCCAAAGTAATCCAATATGACAAAGTCCTTATGAGGAAAATAAAATAAAAGCTATCTCACAGATTAAGCCAAGTATCCTTAGGTTTAAACTTAAGTAATTCTAGTTCTGTGATTAAATCATTATTTTCTGAGGCTATAATCTCTTTTTTTTTTTTTTCTGATACGGAGTCTCTCTCTGTCGCCCAGGCTGAAGTGCAGTGGCGCGATCTCTGCTCACTGTAAACTGCACCTCCCGGGCTCTCGCCATTCTCCTGCCTCAGCCTCCCGAGCAGAGCAGCTGGGACCACAGGCGCCCACCACCACGCCCGGCTAATTTTTTTTTATAGTTTTAGTAGAGACGGGATTTCAACGTGTTAGCCAGGATGGTCTCGATCCCCTGACCTCGTGATCTACCCGCCTCGGCCTCCCAAAGTGCTGGGATTACAGGCGTGAGTCACCGCGCCCCGCCGAGGCTATAATCTCAATATTAGAGTTTGTTGACTTTCAGAGCCGTTCATCTGGCTCTGTCAAAACCAGTAACTGTATCTAATTAACAAAGGCTTCAGGTAAAGTAGATTGAATGCTGCAATTTCTACTATCAGAAAATATGAACAAAAAAACAAAATTAAGGTTATGAAGTAGAATTTACATACATCCCAGTAAAACTGAAGAAATGATATATTTGAACTTTAAACCTAATAAATGCAAGAGAACTTAAGAGAAGTGTCTCTTTATGTAGCCATATGATCCCACAAAAAAACAGCTTTTTCAAGGTCATAGGCACAATTTTGAAATATATGATATCTGAAAATATACACAAAAACACTGTATGGTCACCTGTGTGATTTTTTATCTCTTCATTATGGGTAAGAGTTACATAAAATAATAGTTTATATATAACAGTTATCAAACAAGTTGATATATTTTATTAGCAGTTTATTTAAGATTGCAGTTTATTCTATACATGAAAAGCAAGAATCATTTAAATAATTTTGTCATGGTTATAAGTAACAGAGAATGAGAACATTGATTAGATGCTGTATTTCAGAAGCACAGCTAAGACCCAACTACTATGTGCCTGTGTAATATAAATGTTTATAATTTCGGTCTGAAAAATATGTACAATATCTATAAAAAAATTTTACTGCAAATGTGGATGCCCTAACTAACCTTTTAAAATTAGAAAAAAAAACATGTATAATTAGCAGTGATAAAATTATTATAGATGCCAAAGGTTGTCTGTGAATTCATCTTTTTATACTTTTAAATTATTTTATGGTTTCAGAAAAAATAAGTCTAATTCTTTTCACTCAGGTGACCTAAATGGGCTGATGCTTTTATACCAAAACAAAGATTGCCTGTCTGTCCAAACCTCCAGCCAAGGAACAGTTGTCTCCAGACAGACAATTGTTAGTGTTTATTCTACTGAAAAATGCGAATATATTGTGTTCTGAGTATTTGCTTAATTAAAAGAGGAGCTTTATATAATTTATGTACAATGAATTGGAAAAACATCTCTCTGAGACTTTTCTATAATTTTCTGCTAGTTTTATTTTTTGATGGTGTACCAGAATTTCTAAATTTTTAAATTTCAATACATTTGCATATTTTAATCATTGAAAATTATTTTCTATACTAACATATGTAAAGGGAAGGTTTTGTTTCCTAGCAATAGGAACTCAACAGGTAGGCAAATATGCATTTTGTAATATTTAGAAAAAATTACTAATTATCATATGAAAAATTTAAAGCTTCTCTATTTCAAGAAGCATTGTGTTTAATTATCTGTATTATTTTTCTTAAATATAGTTTTGATATAATATACTAAACTCTAATTTAGTCATGAAATTAAAATTGAAAGGAAGTCTCTTAATTACCATGAAGTTATTTTTAGAATATCATAGTTTAAACTCTTAACATTAAACATGTAAAAATTTGGTATAAATAAACATCAATGCTGTTTTTAAATTTTTTTTGGTTTGTTTTTAATCACAGCCTCATTAATGATTGAGGACATTAGAGAATGACTTATGAAACACCCTATAAAAAATCACAAAAAATAACATAAACTTTCCACTTTCAGAGATCTAATAACAAAATACCACAGTTGTCAAAGTTATCTGCTTCCTATCAAGATCTATGTTTGGCACAAGAAGTATTCAATTCATTCATCATTGTCAATGCACTAGTACACTAATTATTTCAAATTGTTTCCTCAGCCAGAGGTCTAGGACAAATCAGGCAAGCCAAAAATAGCAGTTATGAATAATTATGCATAATTTACCTCAAGGCCTGGGCCAGTCTGCTATTAAAACTTTTACTTGCCACACTGTGATCTGTGTTAATTGCAAACTTTAAAATTATTTCAAGGTTGTCTTTTTATCCAGTGTCAACTTCAAACCTTTGTCTTAGTGACTTTTAGGTACTTTGCACTCTTCAAATAAAATGCTAATCATAATTTTGTTTAAAAATATATGTACATATATGTATGTATATTTGTGTGTGTGTATATATGTGTATATAATAAATAATAGAAATCAGTGAAGAAAGTGTTGTTCCCACCTTTTGCAATTCTCAAATATGTAGACACAGTATAAACATGAGAGTTTAGGAGTCAAAGTATAGTAATGACCTAGCTGTGGGAATTCTATCTTGCTCCAGTTGAAAAGAGAATAACAGGTTTTAGCAATGTGCAAATATTTCTCCAGTATCAAGTTAGTCCTCAGATACTCCCTATAATTTCTAAAGGAAGGAACCCTTGAAATTCTGCTGCTCCTCAGAAAGTTCAGTGTATTCAACTTT
Organism: Homo sapiens; assembly: GCF_000001405.40. Classification (NCBI taxonomy): domain Eukaryota; kingdom Metazoa; phylum Chordata; class Mammalia; order Primates; family Hominidae; genus Homo; species Homo sapiens. Next base: position 89,167,633 of record NC_000003.12, on the reverse strand, counting down.
GACTTTCATTTAAGACAAAAACAGAGACAACTACCTTAAATTCACAGATGTCAGGATTTCTAATAAGCACAAACTTCAAACTATGGAGTTAGTATAACACACAATTGAAGATGATGCATTTTAGCTTCTATTTCTTTTTTGTAATGTTATTTCTCCCCACATAGGGGAGAGAAATAGCTTTTCTCCCTACTTCATTTTCTCATTTCTCCCCCTACCCCTACCCATGCTAAATCTTGTAGTTATGCTTTATCTTCTTATTGAAAGAATAGAAAATATTAAAGAGAATATAAATGTGATATTTTAAATTATATGTCCTTTGAATTTCCAAGTATATGTATTTTATATTTGAAAAAATGTAAACAGAGTGAATGTTATGTACTTTTATCACAAAATAAAAACTCTGTGATGTAATGCATCTATTAGCTAGTTAACTGTTTCACAATGTATATATGCTTCAAAACATTATGTTGTACATGATAAAAATATACAATACTATCTGTCCATTAAAACAAATTAGTTTTCATCATTTTTTTTCCAGGTCATTGACTTTTAGACCATGAGGATATGTATCACTAAACTGTCATTTTCCTGAGTTATTTTCTTTGTACGAAACAAAGGATGCTCCATTTCACCTCAGACACATTTTGAGGAGAAATGGGGCAATTTGCAGGAATGTGTTTTCTGCCTGTGACTTGTCAGATAAAGACCCCACTCAACCCCTTCTTAAATAATACATCATACTTGCTGGGTTGCTGTGCTTGTGTTTTTGTGCTGTTTGTTAACTGATGCTTTCAAAGAATTATCCATTCAAAAGCACCCCCTTAATATTGTCAGGTCAATTTAATAAAAGGGTGCATTTTGTTTAGGTTCTCCCTAGACCTCATTCTAAAATATTCTGAGAGTACGACATTTCTGATATGTCACTGTGTTGGAAACTAATTATATGCAAATAATTCCAAGAAGCAAAAGAAAAAAGGAGAGCAAATCAGAGGAAGCAGGTGAATTTGGGAGAGAAAGGGAGAAATGCTAAGGATAGAAGATAATTGATTTGTCTTCATTGTTTCAAAGAACTGTTTTTATGGTTGGTGTTGTTTTTATACGTTTGAATGAAATAGAATCTTGTAACATGGTTATCAGAGTAAAAAATCAGAAAAAAACAATTATTATAATTTAAAGACTTTATATCATTTTCAAAAGTTACAGGCATCCAATAACTACCCTTCCTCTCCATGTGTTTTAGTTATTTCAAGCAAAAATGTGTAGAGTGAGTGCTTCTGTTCAAAAGATAGTATATGTGCTGGGCATATTTTGGTCTTGCCCACAGAAACCTCATAATTTAGTGTACAATTTAAAAAGCTGAACAACTACCATAATAAATAATTACAAATTTTGATAAATTATATGAAGAAGAAGATAAACGAAGAATGAGAAGATGAAGGTGGTTCTTAAACCTACTTTAGACGGTGGAACAGGGAAAACTACCCGGACGTTTAGGCTGAGAACCAGACCTGAAGGGTGCTAAGACAGAGATCTCATGCAGTGAAGAGCCGGGAATCTGGAGTTAGATCACCGGGGTTTTAATCCTGCCACTCATTTGCTATTAATGAGCATTTGAGCAAATTACTTAACCTCTCTGGCTTTAGTTTCATCATCTGTAAAACAAAGATGATGATAGCATCTAAAACAAACCATAGGGTGAACGGCGCTTGAAGAGCCAGGGAAAAGTGTTCTGGGAAAATGAAAACACAGGAACAAAAGCCCTGAATGGGTATTTGGTGTTTCTGAGGAGCTGATTGTTGGCCAGTGTAGCCACAGCATGACCAAGTTCCAGAACGGCAGGGGCCTTTATCATTCAAGGCCTGAACAGCCTTGGAAAGGAGTCAGGATTTTGTTGCACAAAAGCTGATGTCTTCTTTTATTTCAGAAGATGAGTATGTAAAGATGCAAGATATTTGGATCAAGGATTCAAAAGGAGAATACAAAAGTAACACATTTTTTTGAAGGTAATAACATTAAAAATTAAGCAGAGAATTAACATAAGACTTGCATTTTTGAATGGATCATTTTGACTACAATATGGAGATGGAAAGAGGAAAGGCACAGAAGAGCACAGAAGTTTTTAATCCATGCATTAGAACAGTTAAGAGATGGTCTGTTCTATGGTGATAGCATTGGGGATGGAATGATTGAACCAATTTGAAATATATTTGCATTGCATTGCATTTATTAAAAATAATTATTACGAAAAGTATAATTTCTTTCAAGAATGTTTTATATACAGATAATATATGTTGGGTGGATTACATACTATGACATTTCGTTTTAATTCTTAGGAAGATCTGCTTTTGAGGATTAGTTAAGCATTGGCAATTTGTCTTATTTTAAGTGAAAGTTCTTTGTGTTCTCATTCAGCTTTCCCAGAGTTTCAATTGTAGCTACAAAAGAAATGAGGTTGAATTTTCCCATGGATCCCAGTGGGATTGTCTAGAATGTTGTTGCATTAGAATCACTTACAAAATGTCTCCTGTATTAATCTGTTTTATGTTCCTAATCCCTCACTGATTAAAATCAGAGGTGACAGAAAGACTCTAAGAAGGACCTGCAATCTTTAAAAGCCAAATAAGAAACAGTTTCTGAAGTATAAGGATATGAAAACCCTGACTCAGCAATGCTGCATTGAAAGATTTTTGTTTGTTTGTTTGAGTAGTACTACAAGTTGTCTCTGTGTAGTTGTGTAAATACACCTCCATTTTAAATGTAGTATTATCAGATAATTTCATTTATTAAACACTCTCTTCTAGTCCCTGAGATATACTGTGACTATTCTGCAGGGTGTTCTGGGGCATTATCCTACCAGCACACATTCTATTAACACTAATTGTATGCTCTCTAGAGAGTAAATGGGCAGAAAAGCATATACTTTCATTGAATAATCTGGAGATCCTTTCCTTGGCCTACTTAATCTTTTTTCTCCATAAAAGAAAAGGATCATGAAGGCATCTAGAATTTTGTGCTGGAAGATTTCTAGTAAGTTCAGAGGAAGACAGAAAAACTAGTGGGATTTACCCTACAGCAAGTCTGGGTGGAAGCAGATCCAAAGGGCAAGAGAAGCTGTGAATGGGAAAATTCAGATGTCAGGTGTGACACAGGTCTGAAAAATGTCTTCCAAGAAAGATTTCCAGTTAATCCCAGCAATAGCATACACTCTGCAAAGGTTTGTTGGATTTTTTAGGGGGGCGTGTCTAGGCCAAGCTTGTTCAACCCACAGCCAGTGGGCCGCATGCGGCCCAGGATGGCTTTGAATGTGGCTCAACACAAATCCGTACATTTTCTTAAAACATTATAAGTTTTTTGGTGATTATTTTTTAAGCTCATTAGCTATTGTTAGTGTCAGTGTATTTTATATGTGGCGCAAAGACAATTATTCTTCTTCTAATTTGACCCAGGGGAGACAAAAGATTGGACATTCCTTGTCTAGGCTACCTGGTAGATCCATGCGCTGCTAAATCAATTAGTCTTCTCTACTCCTTTATGTCTGAAACGCTACCTCTGTCTGAAGAATTCAAAATCATCACTGGATTAATTTGAGATGTTTCTATTCCCTTGAAAATAATATGGTAATATTATTTGGTACTCTGGTTTGTTGCTCCTAACTATTGACTTCTCTATACAAAAAAACTAGGCACAATCAGATTTAAAGATCTCATTCCTTAATCAGCCTCTTATTCACCTGGATAAACCACCAGACCAGTTTTATTGACCTCAAAGAGAAAACAGTCACTTTAGAATGGGTTTTTGTGTCTCTTCCTTCCCCATACCATCATCCTTTGAAAGTAACACTGTAGGTTCTCTTGGCAATTAATTCTGATTTGTTCAGGAGTGTTCCATTTATACCTGCCACCCAGCTACAGCAGAGACCCACAGCTCACAATCTTGTCTGATTGGGAAATCGGACAAGAGTCCTCGATTTCCCAGGTGTGTAGTTAAGATACTCACAACTAGTATTCATTTAGTTTATTTACAAAGTTTCATTCCCACATTTCAATAGAAGTATACATTGGATATTAAGGGAACTCACAAAACATCTACACATTATTTTTATATCATATGAATATGAGGTATTGCTATTATAATGTAATAAAATCAATAATATTAAAAAATATGATAAAAAGGTTAGTATAAAGCATCAGCAGCAACATAAATGAGATGTTCTGGGAAAGCTTTCTTATTTCCTTATTGTTCCCTTCTCCCCCGACCCCTCAAAATCATAGCAAAGTATTTAGTATCAAACTAAAAGTTAATCAAGTTAATATCAATTTTATGATTACTCATTAAAAATAAGTCATCATTGCTAAATGCTCACTATGTACTAGGCGCTTAAGTCCTTTACTTAAAATATAACCTCTAATCTGTACACTATCCTCCAAAATAGGTATCATCATCCCTATATTATAGAAGAAGAAACTGAAGCTTACAGTGAATAAGAGGCAATGGCAGGGTTCAAGTTTAGGTGTGAATGATCCTAAAGCTATAATCACTCCTGTAATTTGGCTCATTTATTTTGCTCATGCTAAAATGAAATATCCTGGTAAATATAAACTTTAATCATTTATATCTTAGTATGAATCATGTTTGTTGTGCGACTATGTTGATACAAGAGGCTGACACTGCAATTTGCCACCTGAATACCTCTTCATTGAAGGACTGCAGCCCCGGCTGCTGGGATGCTGTCAGCAGACACCCTGCAGCTTTCAACCCTTTCAGATATTGTCTTTGCTGCATGGAGTGGCCGTCCTAGAGTTCAGGTCCTTCCCAAGGGTGGCACATCCAGTGATTTTGCAGGAATAAAAAGGCCTTGCAATCTCAGCCCAATTCAAGATCTTTCTAAAAGCCCCTCTCAGTTCCAGCATGCAGGGTTGGGCTAAAACCCTTGGTAGGTCTAGATCACAGCTTCACTTCACCTTCTGTCCATTCCTGCTTCCTTTCTTTCCTTTCCACAGGTTTGAATCCCAAAGGCACTCCTTTCTAAACATTCAGCATACAAAATGCCTTCCTACAGTCTGATTTCAGGGGAACCCAAACTACAATTGAGGAGAAGGAGAGAGGTTGGACAAGTGATTTCTGGGCAAGAGAGGAAGGAAGAGAACAATACTGAGTGAAGGAACATTTTAGAAAATGAGCAGAAATCAGATCCTCAAAGAACAAATTCTGCTAGGTCATTGCATTTGCTTTTGCATAAAACTAACATCATCATTCACAATGGCTGAAATAGATTATTTGGACATTATTAATTAATAAGGTACTTTATTTCTTCTGATCTAATTTATTTGGAGTATGGCATGTTCCTGTATTTACTCCTGCTTTCCTCATTTCTAAAATGCATGATTTCCAGGACACCAAATTACCTAATATGTCCAGGATTGTCTTACTTTCTACATGTTATCCCCAATTTTAATTTTAAGTAATACCCCTTTTCAGCCTCAAGCATTCCTGCTCTGAGGATAATTATGTGTTCATCTAATTCCCAGTTCCTGTGTAAATCTCTTACTTGTGTTTTAAGTGAATTACCTCACTTGGATAAGAAGGCTCACTAAGCAAGAGAGGTTTATTATTTATTATTATTTATTATTATTACTATTATTATTATTATTATTTTGAGACAGAGTCTCACTCCCATCACCCAGGCTGGAGTGCAGTGGTGCAATCATGGCTCACTGCAGCCTCTACCTCCCAGGTTCAGGTGATCCTCCCACCTCAGCCTCTCAGGTAGCTGAGACTACAGGCATGCTACCATATCCAGCTAATGTTTTATATCTTTTCATAGAGACAGGGTTTCACCATGCTGCCCAGGCTGGTATTGAACTCCTGGGATAAACAACTCATCCACCTTGGCCTCCTGAAATACTGGGATTACAGGCATAAATCACTGTGCCTAGACAAAGTCAGATTTAAAATAATAAAAATTATAGGATATTCACACAAGGTTACTCATTACAGCCACTGTTTTTGTTTTATATGTATATATAAAATGAATGACTGCCCGTCAGTAAAAAAACTAATTAAATAAATCATGGTATATCCATACTCTGTAATACTATGCAAACATAAAAATAAAGAACAAGGAAGCTCTTTATATGAAAGATCTCCAAGATACATTGTTAGATTTCAAAAAAAGTAAGCTATAAGACATAATTGAAAGATTCAATTTGTATAAAAGCAGGTGTTATATTTATACTATGTAAACATTACACAATTTTTGTATACATATAACCACATAACTAATACTATTAATGGCTTTGAGAGAGGAGAAACAATGACTTACTGGCAGAGGTGGAGAGAGACTTCACTATATTTCTTCTATAATTTTTGAAATTGTAACCATGTGAATGTGTTACCCATTCAAACATTTTCCTTTTTTATTCTAGTTTCTAATATGGCATGGTCCTTAAAGTGTGATCCAGGGAAATCAAAATGATTTTCATAGTAACAGTACAGTAATGTTTGTCTTTTTCACTCTAATTGTCTTACCAGAGTTTGGTGGAGATTTTTAGAAGCTGCGTGATGTGAGATGAGATCATCACTCAGATGGTAACATCCTTCTAGTGGACTTACTGCTAATTTTTAAATGCATTAATAATTTCGTTAAATTTCCCAGTTTAATTTCCATTAGGGTAAATATTTACACACATAACCAACATAAGCAAAACCTCAATAATTTCTTAGAGTACAATCCTGAGACCAAAAAATTGGAGAACCACTCTGAAATAGGTAGTTAAAAAATGTTTTTAATGTAGAAATATTTGAGGTTTGAGACAGTAGCAACTTTGTAAGCTGAGGAGACTATAAAAAGTGAAAATTTTGCTGATGGATTTCCTATTAAAAGTCTGGAAAGCAGTTGCCAAAGAGATATACCAAGTTTGTGACAATATTGAAGAAAGCTTTAGGGTTGAATCTTTAGGGCTGACAATTAAAAAGATACAAGTTTGCTGTACAACATGATCCAAACTTTGGTGAAAGAAATACACACAGAAAAAGAATGCGCGCACACACACACACACACACACACACACACACACACACACACAAAATCTAATATTACTTTTCTCTGACTTGTGGAATATAAAGCTTTATTTACTTATGAACAGTTATTTATAATTATTTACTTAAGAATATTGACAATTTTGTAATCATAACAACTTTTCAGAGGGCCTTCACATGAAGTCTCATTTTATTCTCCAAACAACCTAAGGAAAACAATCTAAATATTACCATCATTTTCTGTAAGAAACAGACACTAACAAGATATGCTACACTGCTTTTTCTATCTTTTCATATCCCTTTTCAAACTTTAACATAGCATACAGTTTATGTATTTATTATATGTTTGTTGTCTGTTACCCCCAGAAGAAATGTGAGATCCATTCTGATTGTTCCAAACATTATTGATTTCTAATATATTATATATTATGTTCATTTACAGCATTTGCAAACTTCCTTCTCCTAACGGAATGTAAGGAAATTGATTACCATCATTTCTTATTCAAACTCTTTGGTATACTGCTTTAGGATAACGGTCTTAGAGTGTCGGGTTATTGTAGTATTTAGTCATATTTCCAAATCTAGTATAATTTTTCTTTTATTTTTGAAGAAAAAGTTAAAAAATACAAAAATAGGAAGAAGGAAAAGAAGGAAGGAAGGGAGGAAGGAAGGAAGGAAGCAAAGAAGGAAGGAACTCATAGCCCATATAAAGCCTAGTTGGTGTTTAGAGTTTTCTTAATTAATCTCCTTTATACCTCAACACAATCTCATAAATCACCGTGTGAAGCTAAGATGTTTCATTACAGTGAGTACTTCTATATACTACAATGTAATAATAAAAATGATGAAAATTATAGCACTAATAGTAATTAATGTTGGGGGTCATGAAGATATTTATCCGCTTTGGATTCCAAGAAAATGAGCCACTTTCCTATATTTAGATACACAATCATCAAATACACCTCACTTATTTTCTGTAGTTCCAATTGGTTTCATTGACTATTCCTGCCCAGAACTCTGTAATGGGAGTGAGAGGCAGTGGAGAATTTATTATTTTGGCAGCAGCTTTGGCAATGCCATCTGACTTCAATTGACAGCCTTGTCGTGGTGTCAATGAGACCATAGCCAGGGACTAACGGTGGTGGTAATTACAGGGACTTCACTAGTGGATTTTGGTGGTGCTTGCTGTGGTCCTTACTGTACCCTCCCTAACTTGTATCTAGCCACTTTCTGAGCTGGGTTAGTAATACTCTTTTCAGTAAATTTATTTTCTGACTAAATCAGCTTCAGCAGGTTTCCAATGCTTACAACTAAGAGCTCTGATTCATAAAACATGCATCTGATTTTGGTAAAAGGAACTTCAGTTTTGTGTAAAATAATCAGGGCTATAGAAATGATGCTAAAAATAAAATCTTTGATTATCAAAATGCCTAGTAGATATTTGATAAATATTGACTTAATGAATCAGTAAAATCACATTAGAAACATTTGAAAATATGCCAGACATATTAGTACAAAATGAACTAATATATTAATGAATTAGGTAAATAATGCACATATGCTTAAGGAAATGTGGGTGAGGCTATTTATAATATATTGCCCTTGCCCTACAGTGATGTATTATTTAGGACTATAACAAAAAAAAGTAGTTATTTCTTTTCTTCTTCCCCAAATACATGCATAGGAATTTTTTCTTTAACAAAATTAAGGGCAAATATATGTATTTTTTCATATGTATTTGCCTACCAAGTTTCCACTCCTTTCAAATAGAACTAATTCCAAATTTGGAAGACAGCTTGATCCAGTACTCTTTTGGCACTGTTTATTAAGAATGCTCCTTAGCACATTGGGGTCCTTTGAATGTTGCAGTTGTTGCTGAGAAGAAGAGGCCCACTGTAAAATATGTTTGAGAAGCAACGGGATATACAAAAGCAAATCTTGTCTCTTTGAAAGAGGACTTCTCAAATCTATAAAATATTAATGTGTTCATTTATTATGAATCTGGGAAAAGCAGACATAATAAGGAGCATCCTGTACATTTATTTTATCTTGCTTAACATCTTTAACATTTTTTGTAATAATACATTGTTTTCTGATAAACAAATTTAGGAATTCTTGACCAGACTAAATAGCCAACCAATACTTTGCATATTCTTTCATTCCTTTTAATAGACAGTGTAAAAGAAAGCCCCAAGAATTTATAAGTATACCTTAATTGAGAAGTAAGAGACAATGTCACCTAATGAAAAACCACATACTGTCTACCATGAACATTAAAGGCAATCCTCAATGAAGTGGTAGAATCCACAGAAATAAATCTACTTTTAAAGACGCATCTAAAAATGGTTTAGAACATTCTGGAGTCAAGCTGTTTAGGTTTAAATCTTATCTTCAACATTAACTGGTTGTGCAACCTTGGATAATTTACTTATTTTCATTGTAGTTTTGTTTTCATCTACAAAATTATAATAGAATGTGTCCCATTGTGTTATCTTGTAGATTCAAATGAATTAATATTTGTGAAGCAATGGTATACATAGAACTACTGAAGTATCTGTTAAAAACACAAACAAGCAATGGTAGGCTCTTTCAACTGAGGTGGACAGAAAAGACCTCACAAACTTTAGGCATTTATCTCACTTTCTCAGGGTTTTCTCTGTTGATTCTATTTAAAATTTCAGCCCTGCCCATTAACTCTCTCTTTCCCCTGACTTCTTTCCCTTTTTTTTTTTCTTTTTCTTCATAGCGAGTGTTACTACCTACACTGTATATATTAGTGTTGGTTATTTTCTATCTACCCTACTGCCAAGGATGATTTGTTCTCTTTTACTTACTGCTGCATCCCCAGAGACATGTAGAAGCAACTTCCTGGAATTAGTACCTGTAGGACAATTGTGAAATCAATATACATACATCATCAGCCCGCAGAGAGTTTCATCTCTGCTTCTGGGTTCCCCTGCCCTGGTTTTATCCCCGCAAGGTTACCCCTTTACAACAGTCATCTGCTTGGAGCAGCAGGGTTATTTAGATAACTGTAAACTTAAGCACATGTTCCAGGACCCAAAGGAAATCAGGAGAAACACCTAAAAGAAATATGATATTCTATGCTCCTTGTTCCTCTTCGTTTTTCATCAACTTTGCAAGAGATCTGGTTTTGTGAAAGAACACCATAGGAATTTGCTACAGGTGTTATGGATAACAGCTGAAGTATGAGAAGGGGTGCCTGTTAATAAAGGTCAAATAGAATTTGTTTAAATTTGGCGATCCTAGAAAATTATATTAAAGTTGCATTAAGGAATATCTGGCAATTGAATTTTAATGAAGACTTCCACATTAATCTTGCTTTTTCTAAAGCAGAACTTGAGAATAAGTGGTTCGATCATAAAAGAGCAGAATTTGGTTGGCCAAGAGTGGAACACTGGATCGCACTACCATAGCATCCTGGCTTCTTTCCCAGTACAAACCTTCACTTCATCACAATTTCATTCTTATATATCTGCAAACCAGAACTGTCAGTGAAAGTTTATTTTATTCCTTCAGCTTTTGCATGCTACATATTAAGAGGCAGACACCTTGTTTCTGCCACATTATCCGGATTCATTTGTGCACTGATGCAGTGTCAATCTTGAAATCTGTCCAGGCAAGGAGAGGTGTCCTGTTTTCTGTCCTAGGCCATCTGGCTGCCCTTAGTTACATTTTTTTTTCCAAAAAAAAAATAAAATGTGTAGTGGACATGAGTGAATATGTAAAGATAAAGGAAAGTGATGCCACCAAAAGTCATCAGAATCTTATATTCTTATATATTTAGCACTTTCATGGTCTCGTTTTTTTAAATAAAATGTTCCTGCTCTGTTTAGCATTAAAAACATCTTTTAGCTTTTGCACACTAACTTTTTTGGTTAATTTGCTAACTAATATCATTCTTCTTTTTACCTAAGAAGTAAACATTTTCACAAAGTAAAGAAAAAAAATGGCAAACGCTTGAAACCAGGACCTTAAGTTTTACCTAACAGTGGAATAAAAACAATGGATTTGCTTTTCTGTCAGTTTCCCTGTCATCTGATTTTGGCACTTAGACTGAATTTTGCCAAAAGCACACCAAATAACCCCCTCCACACAGATTAAGAGAAGAAGCACATGTTAAACAAATAGCTTAAAAAATAAACAATTTATTGCAGAGCAGTTAAAAATAAGAGCACTTGCTCCTCATTTTATAATGTGTTTTCAAGTTTTTCCAATTTTAAATCTGCTCTCTTCTTGTTTAGTATAAGGAAGTCCTGGATTTCTAACATCCAAATAAACCAGATGTGAGGAACACCCAGATACAAAGGAAGTGCTTTCACACAAAAACAAAACTCACATGAAAGCAGTTAAGACAAGTTTCTTTAGACACAATGTCTCTACTCTGAAAAGTCCACCAGTCATTATAATCTTCCTGATGAGATACTTAGTGCTCATGTTTTTGTTTGTTCATTCATAAAACACTCTCAAACTTGCACGTAAACAGTATCTTCTTCCCAACGGCCTCCAGTAAATACATCGCTCCAAATGGCCGAGTTTACTAGTTTAACAATCACCACACTGTTCATCACATAAAGACTGTTATTTCTTTTCCTTTGGATACTTACAATCTGTTTCTTGTAAAGTTGAAACAAGGTTGTTTTCTCATGTTGAAAGAACTGACAGCTGTAATTACTCCTACCACTGCAGTACGACTTGGTTCCCAACGTTCAACTACATACTGTATAAAGCATGAATCTGTTCAATGTTTTCAAAGATGAGAAAGGGTAATCTCATAAAAGAAATCACTAAGACCATATTTTCACTCTCTCAAGGGAACTCAATCCTCCACAAACTGGTATATGAGAAGTGGTTTTATTTTTAAGTTTTAAGTTAACATTATTAAAACGTAATTGTAAAACAGTAGTTATTTTGCTTTACTTTTTAGCTTTTATAAATGATATTTGTAAAGCCTGGCATTGTGAAAATGTATTTTCTTATTCAGAAATTCCATGAACAATCAAAAAGCCACCATGAAAATCAAAATGGATTGCAATTGTAAGGTAATCTAATCTGAAATCTTTCTTACAAACTTTGTTTACTCTTTTATCTATATGAGCATTGTCTGGTTAATACTATGCTTGAAATGTCAATGGACTTTTGGGAAGATTAAATGAAACAGTACATATTGTCACTAGTGCTTGGCACAAGGTATACACCCACTAAATGCTACTTGATAGTCTTATTAATATAACTAGAAAAAGGGTATTTTATATGTTTCTTGAAGTTTGAGAAGTTTGTTTTAAATGACGCAGATAGGCTGGAACCATAGTTAACAAATAAAGAAATAGTACCTAAGCTATTACAGATAAAAAATGTACAAGATCATTATTCATATTTTAGAATAGTTCTCATTATGTATTGATTTTACATACACTTCTGAGTCTATTAACTCCATAATGCCTTCATCCTGGGGATTATGACATATATTCATCTTTCTATATTTAATGTACAGCACTATCAGACATATACACAGTAAGTGCTTAATAGCTGTCAGTTTGAATAAACTTCAAGAAAATTTAACTACACTTATTCTTTGAAAAAATTTTAAAAAGTTTGAAACTTTTAAACAGAATTATGTTTCTAATGGTTATAATAGTGGAGCAATGATAATTATAAATATTATATAATTATAATTATATAATATATATTTTATATATATATGTTCTTAGATGCTTTAATGTGGCTTAAAGGAAGTTGGCTGTGTGTTACATTTGTCTTTAGATGAAATATATGGATAATTGCCTAATGTCTCAAATAAAATCCTGTTTTTTTTAAAGTTCCAACCTTTTAAAATCATGATCTATTTGAATCTGAAAACTTTGTGTTACACTGTTCCAACATTTGAGCAATCTACCAATTACAAAATGATAGAGTGAGTTGTTTACAAAATGGCTGCCAAATGATTGAAATTTTTCACATGATTTATATAATTAATCCTAGTTCAATCAAACAATTTAAAATATTGTTCAGTATAGCTGTTCATTAAATAAATAAATCTTAAAAGCTAGGTCCAAAATCAGTATTTTTGAAATTATTATGAGACTATGTTTTGCTGCACTTCATTTATACATAATTAGCAGTATATAAGCACCACACAGTCCATTGATACTCATAACTTTTTCTGAAAAAAAATCATGGAGAAATGACACTTTCCTACATTTATTAATTCATTAACTTATTCATGCATTTAACAGATATCTATTGAGTGCTCACCTTTTTATGCGTCCAAAGAATGAGAAATAAAAATAAAAAAAAAAAAAAACAAACAAAAACCCAAAAAACAAGGAAGCCCAAAACTTTCCTGTTCTCCTGCTCAAAAGGAAAGGGGATATAAATAATAACAGTAACAAGTAAATGCACTAAGGAGAATATTAGAAGATGATAATTGTTATGGAGAAAATAAAAACAGTAAATGCAATTTAAAATAGAGTGATCAAGGCAAGCCACAACGAGAGGTCAATATTTGAAGAGAACAGAAATAAATGTCGGGGGGCCTCATGGCTTCAGGACAAAGGGGAACCATTTGCAGGAAGTGGGAAGAATAAGTGCTGAAGCTCAGAGATAAAAGCAGACCTGACTTGTTCATAGACACCGTGGACACTAGCAAGGATGGAACAGTGTAAGGAAGGAGAGAGGAGCAGGTCACAGATGTCACTGGGGGACAAATCATGATGAGCCTTGCAGGTCATTCTGAGGACTTTGGCTTTTATTCTGAATGTGATGGGAAAACCTTAGAGGATCATCAGCAAAGGAGTGAGATAAGTAGATTCAGGATCATTCTATGATGAACACAGAGTGTAACTATAATAGGACACATGCAGGGGCAGGGAGCCTGGATTTAACAAAAAATAGGTAAAAGATGGTGGTGGCTTGGTCAGAAAGGTAGCATTGCTGGTGGGTAAGAAATGGTTATATTTCTGATATGTTTTGAAAGTAAAGTCAACAAGAATTGCCACCACTGCAAGTGAAATGTGAGAGAAGGAAAATAATCAAAGTGGACTCCAGAGATTTTGGCCTGATACCTGGAAGGAAGAAGTGGCCATGGATGAGGAAGACTGCAGGAGAAATATGTTTTGGGGGTGGGCTCAAAGAAAAAGAGGAAAACAACTTTTTTCCTTTTAATATCTCAGAAATGGAGATATTAATAAGGAAGTTGGATATATGAATCTACATTTTGCAGAAGGCTGAAAATAAAGAGGCAACAGCAAAGTCAATGAAGAAGGACCCGCAAGTGTGAAAAAATTAAAGCAGGAGAGCATAGTATCTTAAGTGAAGTAAATATATGAAACATTCTCATCTTCTCTCTGACTCATTTACCTGCTTCAAGATGAAGCTGAAATTCTAGATTTAAGTGCCTTTTCCTTTACCCATGTCAATTCACAATGGAACTCTTCATTTTCCAAACATCTGTGGCTTTTATTGCATACATAGCCCATTTAGTAATTAACTTATAGCATAGTGCTTATTACAGTGGTGCTTATTTAAATATGCTTTATTGTAGCAATCTATGTTTAGGTTTTATATCCATCAACCTATAATAGCTTATAAATACACACATGATATTTATGAAATAGTAGACAAAAAATAATTAGACAGTTTTACAGATAAATACTACAAACTGAGCCTTGGGTGATTTTTCTAAATTTACCAAACTAATTATCAAAATTCTGGAATTTAGTTGCTAGTTTGTAATGAATCTTTTCAAACTTTCCTCACCACATATAATGCCTACATTTCTTCGTTCATTTAGAAACATATTAACAATTCCTTTGTGATTTTTCACAGTCATTTTTGTTAAATATATTCCTATAACCTCAAAGATGGTTTTTACTTTTTACCCTAGTATATTTTGACTCTGTAAAAAACATTGACTGGATGGAAAATGTAAGCACGTTCTTTTTAAAAAGTATAATTAAGTTTCTGGAGGTTGAAACTATAAGTGAAAGAATAATGATGTGAATTCCAGCATTTTAAAAAATATATAATAGTATGTATTCCATTAGTCCTCCCTAAAAAGTTTAACAGTATGAACGTTTTAGGTCCTGAGAATTACTCATAACAACAGATGAGTAAAATCACCTAGACATCTTGAATGGTCTTGACCCTAAGTTAAAACTTCCATATGTGAAAGGAGGTTGTGGGTGGAAAGAGAAGGCCTGTGCAGTTTCTGAGAGTGTTTAATCATAATAAGGAACAGCATGAGGAGGTCGTTTTAGGTTTACCAGAACACAACTGAGAGTATTATGTTAATTCTAATGTATAGGTGACTTATGTATGTTGTATTCCCTCTGATCATTTGTTGAGTTAGAGATAGAATTTGGAATTTTAATCAGGTAAAGAAGAGAACACATGGATATAAATTAATAAGGACACCATAATGTTGATGAGTACCTTCGTGATCCACAGAAAAATGAATTAAAATATGCGTCCAAATATTTGAGATAACATAAACATATGCACTGAATAATCTCAAGGTAAGGCAGAAGTCTTCATTAAAACAAACATTTCTACCAAACAATATTAAAATTTAAATGTGGAAAATCTGTAATTTAAAAAACAAAAAGCTATTCTGCAGCCTTCTGTAAAGGCCTCTCACTATTTCTAAGAGTAAAGGTAAGTGGATCATTGCAAACAGAATTTGGAGAAAAGTTTTCTTACTTGAGCTTCAGGTCATGCCAGACCACAAAATGGATTTGGATGTTTTGATATTAATATTTAAATTCTATGCTTTTATTTTATTTCTATTATTTCTATTATGCTCATGTAGAGAATGGAGAATTTGTGCGTTTATACACATATCCATGTTTGATTTATGTTAATTTTTCCTAAAATAATATATTGTTTGTATATTAGTTTGGAATTATGCTCCAATGATTGAACCTAGAAAATCTTCAGTCATACACAAGTCTAATTTTCTTGTATAAACAGTACTGAAATAGGCAGCTGGCACGTGCTGTGGCATCTCCCGCAAAGCACCAGTGAGCTGCCTCTTCCTGCTCCTCACTATGCTGACCCTAAGTCATAGCTCTCATTCTAATGTCCCCAAGTGACTGGCTTCTGTAGTGCCAGTCACTACCCAAATGCCAGATTTCCTGTACAGCATCTTTGTAGAAGTCCCACACCCCTACTTATGTCCCTTCAGTTAAAACTCTTTCATGCAGACACACTTCAATTTGATAGAAGCTGGGAAATGTACTCCTTTAGCTGAGTAGAATGCCAGTATAATGGTATCTTAGAAGTCCAGTGAAGTAAATATATGAAACATTCTCTGAATGTCTGAATAAAAATCGGGTTTCTTCTAGTAAAGATAATGGATTTGAGAGTAGACTATTAGACACACATGGCTTTCGACGGCACATATTTTAGGTATGATAATTAGATATACCTCTGCTGCTTTTATGCATCATCAGTTGTTCCTTTTCCTGTATAATTTTTATCTTTTTCATAATATATCTCTTATTATCAGACTTAAAAGATCAGACTTCTTCTACAGGGTCTACTGTTAAGCGTAAATAAGAAAAGGTGTTAGAACTTGTCTGTATTGTCTTCTTTTTTATAGACAGGTTCTCACTCTGTCACCCAGGCTGGAGTGCAGTGGCATGATCCATAGCTCACTGCAGCCTCTAACTCCTGGGGTCAAGTGATCCTCCTGCATCAGCCTCCTGAGTAGCTAGGAATACAGGCATGAGTCACCATACCAGGCTGTAATTTCTAAGCAGTAAATTCTATACTAAAAATGTCAAATTACAAGTGTTCTAAAGGTACAAATGATATTCTGGTCTACTTGAAACAGTCCGTCATTTTGGTGATATATGACGTAAGGAATTAATGCTATGGAAAAACTGAATACACATAAGATTCAAATTGATATCTGGTAAACATTTCAGTAACATAGAATATGGATCCATTTTCAACATTTTGGAGTTTTCTCAATAATATGTATATGTGCATCTGGGGAAGTTATATGAATTTTTAAATTCTAGAAATCACTATTGGTCATAAAATGAAGGATATTAGCTATTACCTACTCTAGAAGGTCTCCCAAATGAGGTGCATGGGTACCCTCTATTGATATCTGTTTTAGCCTTTTAAATTTATCTTTTTTTCCAATAACGAATGCACATTATTATCCAACTATACAAAAAACATATAAATAAAAGTTACATATATCTTGGGAATATGTATCAAATTTTATTGTCTGAATTTCCTAAAGACCATGTTGACTTTACTTCTAGCTTAAAATTTGAATTATTTGTTCATCTGACAAAATATACCCCATGAAAATCTGAAATTGTTGGCTACCACTTAGACTTTCATATCTGCAATGTCTGTGGTGTGATTTAACATAATTTGACTTATTAGATGCTTAAATAATTAATCATGAAGTCATTAGCATGAAATCAATATCCGTTAAGAATCATATACTTTCCCATCCAAATTGTCACTAAAAAGAGAGCCAGAGATACAAGGAAATGGATGTACAACCACAGGACCTTTGAAACAACTACTGCTTAAGGGTAGATTTTAGTGGTACCTGAGAACAAGCTGGTACTTGTACACAGAAATATATTTCGGTGCTTTTACTTGCAAACTCTCACTAAATATTTAATTTGTTTATTATAACAGCTGAGATGAGAGCAGAATATTTGACCTAAACTTTCTTATTAATTAATATCAATCACCCCTCCATTGTTTATCACATAGTCACACACCAGTGAATTCTTTTTGCTTTTAAAGAATCTTAATTTTAGTTTCTTATAACTTTTTAAATATTATAAAGATAAATACCCACAACTCATATTTTCCACAGGAATTTTGTAATGCCGAATTGAACAATGAGAACACATGGACACAGGAAGGGGAACATCACACACTGGGGCCTGTTGTGGGGAGGGGGGAGGGGGAGGGATAGCATTAGGAAATATACCTAATGTTAAATGATGAGTTAATGGGTGCAGCACACAACATGGCACATGTATACATATGTAACAAACCTGCATGTTGTGCACATGTACCCTAAAACTTAAAGTATAATAATAATAAAAAAAGATTATTCTATGCATTTAATGTGGGCAGTTTTTAATATACACCAAGCACTTGAAGGGAAGAACACATACTAGTGTCTGATGGATGACATACCACTCCTATGTGTCTTATTTCAATGGTTTTCTATTTCAGAAAAGGAAACCCAAAAGATGACTGAGATTATAAAATAGTGGTTGTTCCATCCTCAAAGTAATACTTTCCAAAATGTCTGGTACCGCTTCAGTAAATAGATTGCTTTTGGTAAATATTTATAGACTAAGAAAATATTTTTCAAAGCAGACGTGCATACAACCATGTCAGACATATCTGGTTTCAGGTAGAAACCAGCACTCTATAAAATCCTTTGAACCATATAATATTTTATGATTGTTTAGGCAATAGTATCTTCTGTTTCAATGGAAAAACCATGCTCCCATTTTTCTGTCTCTTTTGAAGAACTATAATCTCTGATTGGTATGCGCTGGCTTCAAAATTTGCATTATGGCATTCTAGCTTTCTCTGACTCGGTATTCTCAGGTTCCTGATGTCTATTTTTCACAATTAGTTTATTATATATATGACTCCAATGAAATAATAATATGTTATATGTTTATAATTATGACTCCAAATAAACAATAATGTCTATTTTCTATTTGCAAATACCTAACTTAGGAATGGCGGAAGATGGTGCAAGTTGACATGCAAGTGACAGGAATTGAAAATAATTCAGATGCATTCACCAGTTGTTTCTATAAGTGACATGATAAACAGAACTTTCCTAAGATGGGTATGCTGGAAAACAATGTAAGATTAATTCATCATCAAGGAATATTCTAAAATAGCCATTTTTGTTTTATTATTCTGAAAGTTATACAGGCTCCTTAAAAGCATATGTCATCACAAAGTTTAAAAGCACAATTTTCCCTGATAACTTTTCAATCTTTAAGAAGAAAAAACCTAGAGAAAACTAAATTTAATTTCAGTTTGGATGTCTGTTTCATGAAAGACACAAACATTTTGTATAACTTTTGATATTGTCATAAAATCTTAATTTATTCATAAATTCCTTTTGTTTGCTTTTAAATAAATTTGCTTAATGCTTCTTGTCTTCTCTGCTTAATTGGTAAAATTTTTAAACCCAAGAAGAGACTCTTTCCAGTAAAACAGTAAATTCATAAACTCTACTCTCCATTATCTTTTAGATACTTTAAAAACAGGTACTTGAATAGACTCTTATTCTCAGTAATAATGACCCTGGTATTAAGTGCCTTATATGTTAGTGTTTTCATTTTAATAAATATTTTAGTTTTCCAATAATACATTTTAAAAACACAGACACACATGCACAAATGCCCACACACAGAGAGCACATGTGTGTGTTACTGACTGATATTTGCATTTAATCAACACACAAGTTCATGCATTTTTTCCCTAAAAATCTTTGTACATTCTAGACATTGTATACTTCTAGAATATAACATCATTACACCCAAATGCCTTTTTCTTTCTCATGGTGTTTTACTCTCCTAGCCTAATGCACGATCCATTATTTTTCCTTAATATTCCATAGGCAAAACATACAGACTTTTCCATTCTGGTTTTCCTCCTTTTTGACCAGCTACTCCATGCTACTGTCAAAGAACTGACTGATTTTTACTGAATTTATTTTGCACTAATATATGAGTCATTTTGTTTTCTCAATTGTTAGTAGTCATTATTTCCACCTTCATACTAGCATCTTTTGATGCCCTATATTATACTTCTAGACCAAAATTCCTCAGGGGTGAGGAATTATTCCTGAGGTCAGGTTAAATGTAAATACAGTATTCTGCCCTTTTTCTAGGGGGTACATTACAAAACCCCCAGTGGATGCCTGAAATCCTAGACAGTATTGAACTGATTGCGGTCAATTGAAACACGATTCTGTTCGTGTCTGCAAATTTAATGTTGTTTTCATCTTAACTGAGCACTTATCACACACTGTGGCTGTAACTTTTGCAGTGTGAGGTGCCAAAGCAAAATTAGCACAAATTTCCTTTTTCTTCTTCACAATTATATGGATAGAAGATTTATTCTTACCATACATCTTAGCAACTTTATTGTAAGATTTTTTCTTTTCTTAGAAACCTTACATTTAGAAAAGCACTCTGTGGCTTTTTTTTCCTTTACGTTCTGGGATACATGTGCAGAACGTGCAGGTTTGTTACATAGGTATATATGTGCCATGGCAGTTTGATGTACCTATCAACCCATCATCTAGGTTTTAAGCCCCGCATGCATTAGGTATTCATCCTAATGCTCTGCCTTCCCTTACCCCCACCCCCGACAGGCCCTGGTATGTGATGTTCCCCTTCCTGTGTTCATGTGTTCTCATTATTCAGCTCCCACTTATGAATGATAACATGTGGTGTTTGGTTTTTTGTTCCTGTGTTAGTTTGCTGAGGATGATCGTTTCCAGCTTTATCTGTGTCCCTGCAAAGGACATGGACTCATTTTTTCTATGGCTGCATGGTATTCCATTGTGTATATATACCACATTTTCCTTATCCAGTCTATCATTGATGGACATTTGGGTTGGTTCCAAGTTTTTCTATTGTAAATAGTGCTGCAATAAACATATGTGTGTTGTTGGGAAAACTGGCTAGCCATATGCATAAAACAGAAACTAGGCCCCTTCCTTATACCTTGTACAAAAATTAACTCAAGATGAACTAAAGACTTAAATGTAAAACCTAAAACTATAAAAACCCTAGAAGAAAACCTAGGCAATACCATTCAGGACATAGGCATGGGCAAAGACTTCATGACTAAAACACCAAAAGCAATTGCAACAAAAGCCAAAATTGAAAAATGGGATCTAATTGAACTAAAGAGCTTCTGTACAGCAAAAGAAACTATCATCAGAGTGAACAGGCAACCTACAGAATGGGAGAAAATTTTTGCAATCTACCTATCTGACAAAGGTCTAATATCCAGAATCTACAAGGAAGTTAAACAAATTTACAAGAAAAATACAAACCACCCATCAAAAAAGTTGGCAAAGGATATGAACAGACACTTCTCAAAAGAAGACTTTATGCAGCCAACAAATATATGAATAAAAGCTCATCATCAGTTGTCATTAGAGAAATACTTTATGACTTTTTTTTGGCCTATCTGAATTGGCAGCATCATTACTCATGCACTTTGGGGGATTATTAAGTTAAATAAGGTTTATTTGAACACAAGCCATGTGAAACTGCAGCAGTTAGTCTGATAGCTGGGACAGCTACTAAGTGACTAATGGGCTGGTCCTGTGTATACATGGAGGATACCCTGGAGAAAGGGATGATTCATGCCCTGAGTGGGATGGAGCAGGACAGAGAGAGATTTCATCATACTACTCAGAGCAGTGGGCAATTCAAAACTTATGAACTATTTCTAGAATTTTCCATGTAATGTTTTCAGACCTCTGTTGACTTCTGGTAACTGAAAGCACAGAAATCAAAATCACATGTAAGTGAGAACTACTGTAAGGATTTCCTTTCCAAAATTAGCATCTATTCATTTTTAACACTACATCTCATTTTTTTATTATTTTGATGTTAATTTTTCTTTTTTAACTAAATTATGCAACTTATTTTAAAGCCAAAGATATTATTACACAGTGGTGTCTTCTTTGATGATATTGTTTGACTGAAGGAAATAAAGCAACAGTGAAATGGAGAGTGAGAAATCGATTCTAGACACACTTGAGAAAAAAAAATTCCTCAGGAAACGATAAATACTGAATATGAATAAAAATAAAACAACAAATAAGAATTGACTCAAAGGTCTCTACATTAGGTGACTAAGTGGATATTTAATACATTATTTGAAATAGACAATATAGAAAAAGCAGATTTTAAAAAATTTGACTCATTTAAATCAACTTAGTGAAAAGAATGGAAGGATATAAGCTATTGAATGTTATAAATTCAGACAAATTTATAAAGAAAAGATTGCAAGATAAGATCTTTCAAAGAGCTATATTATGAAGATCATTCTATATTGCTTTAAATAACTGTGCTAAGAATTGATTTAGCTCAAATAATATATGTGTATATACATATCTGGAAATTGAGTATGTTCACACAGTAGTTTTATTAAGAAGTTGATATGATGGATATTATTTTAAATATTTTTGTATATTTCCTTGAAGAATCTCTATATAAAGGTAAATACACTATTATGTGTGTGTGTGTGTGTCTGTTTGTGAATATATGTAATACACACAACTAAAATAGAATGTTTCTAACTTGTTTGAATTATAGAAAATAAAGTAATTCATTAGCAGCAAAGTTTTGAGAACAATGACTCAGGTAGGCAAAAGAATATCAACTTTTTAATCCCTGTCCCTGTCTCCCCTCCTCTATCAAGAAAACAAAATTTTGTTTAGAGGATGAATTCTTTTCTTCCTGGAAAGGAAAAAGAACTTGTCTTATTTTATGAGGGTAAATTCAATTTTATTTTTACCCTGTTAAATCATCGATCAAATCCAGTGGTTTTATTCAATGCTTACTATTGATACTATAAGAACGATATGATTGTTATTTCTTAATTTATTTCAAACAGTTCAACTAAAGTAGGTCAATAAACTGGTATATTTCAATTGGTAAATTATGCCTATTCTGGACTTTTTTCCTCAACTCTTATTAAACACCCAAAGTTTAATAATCAGCTTTGGGCATTGAAAATATAAACAATTGCCATATGTTATTACTGTAAAAAGAATCAAACCAAAACAAAACACAACCACAGAGTGTTTGGAAACGAGGAGCAAGCCTAGTATTCAGCACTCCATTTAAGCAAAAATAAATAATAGTATGGTATTGTAAAAATAACAAGAAATGTAAAAGAAATGCACACTGTCATCTTACAAGTGATAATATGAAAAGAAATGAAAGTGTTCATATGTGCAGATATTTTCTAATAGTAAACTGCACTGAAAGGTTTGTTGTAATGTTACCATTAATAATTCCAAAAGAAAACTAAGTTCAAAAAGAAGCACACCTCAATAAGTACAAAATGGAAGGCACACAAGGACAGAGGCTTCTTTTGTAAACTCAGAATTCAAAATGGCATGTGTAGAACTGGAAGGATACATAGATGGTCAAAGCAAACACAAAACAGCATCATATGTGAAAAGATGTGCAGGAATCTTACATGCATATCACTAAGTGACATTCTGACAGGGAAAACGACAGTCAGCAAAAAGATCTGTGGTTGCCATGGATGAGTGGGAGGAGGAAAGGAATGAGTAGGTGGAGCATAAGGGATATTTAGGGCAATTAAACCATTCTGTATGATATTGAAATGGTGAAAATATGTATTATGCATTTGGCAAAACCAACAGAACTGTAGAATACACAGAGTGAACTCTAATGCAGACTACGTACTTAAGTTAAAATAATGTATCAATATTGGTTCATCAATTTTCAAAAAACATACCCCAGCAATGCAAGATGTTAATTATGGAGGAAACTGTGGGGGTAAATGGGGAATATATGTGAACTCTCTGTACTTTCTGTTCAATCATTCTGTAAACTTAAAACTGCTCTAAAAATAAACCTATTAATTTTAAAAAGTTAAACTGATGACAAAATGATATGTGGTAAAATATATTATTGACTATAAATAGAAAAGAAAAAAATTCCTTCCTACTAAATGCAATGTGATACCCTGGATTGGATCCTGGAACAGAAAAAGGAAGTAACTGGAAAATATAGTGAAATCTGAATAAAGTCTGTAGCTTATAGTAATGTACCTACATAAATTCTTAGCTTTGATAGTGTACCACAGTTATGTAAGATTTAACATTATGAGAAAGTAGGTGGAGAGAATGGCAACTCTGTACTATCTTTGCAACTTTTCCGTATATCTAAAATTATTTTAAAAAGAATTTTTTTAAAACCCGCATTATACATGAAATAATTGACAGCTAGAATGAAATTTCCAACCACTATAGACCATATTCTTTCTTGACTTTGATAGCTCTAGTGCAAGAACAAGACAAAACACACTAGTATACTTGGTCCTTGTGGGTAAGACTTGTTTCTAGCTTTCTTTTGACTCTGAAATATCTAGGGAAAAAGTGCTTATACATTACTAATGACTGATTCTTAATCACCTAGAATCAAGTGAAAGCAAGATCTTTCAACGCCACTTAGTAGTACAGATTGGGTTATATTAATTAACATGACAGCTTTCTATTTAATTTGAATTATTGCTTATAGACCAGCTACATTGTATATTCCAAAAGAAACACAAAAGTATTACTAGAAAAGTAAAGAGAAATCTAGTCTCATTAAAAACAATTTAATTTTTTTTCCCAAACTCTGTAGGTATCGTGCAGAATTCCGGACTTAAAGATTTTATAAATATAATGTTATAGTTCCTTTTGTACAGGTAACCTTTTCATTTTTTCATTAGTTATATTTTATAGAATATTCTATAAATAATATTTAGATTCTTTCATATTAAGATATTTAATAATTAGCTAAAAGGTTAAAAGAGGATTTCCCCATTCTATTGTTAAACATGTTACAGCTAGTTAACTGTTCAGTCATTTCAATTTTTTGAACATAATCTTCATTTAGCATTGTGCCGGATCCATGCTCTTTTTTGAAAAGGCATAAAGGGGATCTCTACTGCGTGAGGCTATTGAAAGATTTGATGGCTCACTGGTCTAAATCAATCCATGAAATTCCTAATGATTATAACAATAAAAATAAAGTATGTACAATTTAAATAAATGGCTTTTACATTTTAAAAATCTTCTTTTTTTGGTGCACTTTGGCCACAGTATTTGATGAGAGATATCCTATTCTTCTAAGATGACAATTCAAAAGTGTCTATTTCCTGAGGAAGTACTCTAAAAGCACGTTAATATAAGTAACAGTTTATGTCAATTTTGAATAAAGACCAATAATTAAACAATTAAAACATCCTTTTACTTTGCTGTAAACATTTTGGGATGAAATCAATGTTAATACTCATGAGATTTTTTTTGGTATGTTTAAAGCAGGCCTATGGCCACAAAAGTTAGCTCATTTACTTATAAGTGCCTTGAGAGGTTTCATGCTCTGTTTATTTACAGCCACTTCCTATGGAACAGCCCCTGATCTAGTAACAGATTAAACAATAACTCCTCTCCCATTTAAACATTGCGGTAAATATAGACCAAAGTTTCTATTAAGAATCATAATTTCTACAAATGTTGTATCTATCATTTCAGTGCTTTTCAAAGGGAAATTGAACGTTGGGGGAAAAAGTGATATGGTAGACATTTCCTAAGGCTATTATTGTTTAAAATTCTATTTAAAGTTTCATGATTACCTCCCTTTTGTCAACCAAATGTCATGAGTATATTTTATAATTATTTTTAGAAACTATCAGTTTTAGATAGCAAATAGCATACAATATAAAATTAATATTTAGAAAAAAGTTTTATTTTTAGCTTCTATATATACTCTACCTCCAAAATACCCATAATTGACTCTGCTAAAACTCTAGAAGTACATTATATAAATTTCTTCAACTGCCTGGAGGAATCTGTGTAAAAATTTCCTATCTTCTAAATTTCCAGCAATTTAGAAATTATTTATAATATAGGGGCCATGAAACAATTTCATATATTGAAATAGCACATGGGATACCACTGGGTATGTTAGGATATGTGTTATAGATGCAGATATATGTGTAGATGTATACATAGATATATTCACACCTAGACGTATGTGTGTATATATATATATATAACAGATCACATCTCTTTTTAAAGTTTCATTGAAGTTCTGTCCTTTAAACTTTCATAATACCAAGCCATTTAAATTTATTTGCAGGCGAAAGCCTTAGTATTAATGTAGGACATTGGTTCTTAAAGTGTGATCTTTGGACAAGCACCATTAGCAAGGCAATCCATAACTATAAGGGTGGTATCCTTCAGATGGTTCTGATGTACTCTAAAGTTTGGGAAACATTGATCTAGGAGAAACCAAGACATGCATCAGTTATCATCAATCACAATATCATGGAAATTATCCTTGATTTCTCTACCCCCTTTCTGCCTAGTTGACACCCTTTCTTATAGAACAGATAGCATAAATCACCTGGCATCTATTACCTCCTTTCCATATCTTGTTAGACCTCTTTCTCTGATGACTTTGGTAGACCGTCTGATCTCTGCACCTCTAGTCTAAGTCCATGGAGTAAACATCCTAATTCCCAGACTTCATAACAATTTTGCATTAAGATGGAAGCCAAACCCTTGGCATAATGTATGAGGCTCTGTATTGGTCTTTTCCACTAAACTTTAAGATTTCCTTGGAAATAGCTTACTTCTCTTACCATATGTAGTATAAAGTAGTGGTGACGTGCATTTTATGGGAATCAGATTGTCTGATTTCCATTCCTGATGTTTTTACTTACTAGATTTGTGAATTTGTTCGATTTATTTAAATTCTTTGGGCCTTACTGTTCTCTCTTGTAAAACTTCATGGGATTGTGGTGAGAATTAAATGAAATGATATATCGAAAGCACTAGGAATAGTATATAGCCCTTTAGAGAAATATTAGCTATTGTATTGTTTGCATCTCTACTGCCAACAATAGTACCTAGTACACAGCAGGAGCTAAAGCAGTTGTTGGATAACAGAGTGAACAAATTTCAGTGTACTAAAGATTCTACAAGCCCCTTGTATGCTACATAAACTATTAAGAATTTGATAGGTTCTAGAAACGAATATTACCTCATATATTTTCACTTCTGAAATAATGCTATTACACTTAACCTTCCCCTAAATGTTTTCCTCTCCTAAACTTTTCTTTGAATCAGAATCACTTATTTCAGAAAATAAAAGTGTTTATTTTCCAAGAGATAATCACTAAAGCAAATTTCACCACAAAGGTTTTTTGGGAGTTATAAAGCTCATTTGTTCTGTTTTATATTTTAGTCTCCAAAAATTGTTGAAGGACTAACTTGTTACTCTAATTTATATTATCCAATTATTTTGAAAGCTACATATGAACAACATGTATTTAGTGATTATTTTAGCAGTTCAGAAAGCACAAAATAAAGCCAACAATTTAGAGATATTTTAAATCTTGAGAATTTACTGGCTAGAAGATAACATATCCAATCCTTCTGTTTTAAGACTAGTTGTAGGAAAATGATATACTAATTTTTAAAAGATCTTCAAAAATTAATTGGCTTATACAGAAATTGAAACTATGTGATATTTATTTTAGTTACATAGCAACATTTGAAAATACTCTTTCAATGCAAGCAGATTTAGATTAATCTTTGAATTCAAGCTAAAATCAATTTCTACTTGTCAGAAAATGAGTTAAGAATCTTTAGTCGTCAAGTGACAGCTCAGTCTCTGGATCATAAATCAAGTTGTGATGAAGGGATACACATTCACGAGAATGGAAAGCTAATAATAATCCTATACAACCTGATTTTTCTCTTGGGCTTATGAAAGATCAGCATTTTTCACCTGCTGAGAAAAGTAGCTCTATTTTGTCTGCTGTGTCTCCAGATTTGGATATTATCTTGGGTGCTGCTGCAATGCATGACACTCGGTTGAAGTAGTCTTGAAATTCTATAAAGTATAATCTGATAATATTAAACTACACAATCTTAAATCCTTCTTTGTCACTGTGCACAGACCAGTACTCCTCCACAGAGAGGAGGAATGAAAAGAGCACCGAACCCAGACCCAGAAGGTAATGACGTGACCTTCATCAAGTCACTAAGCCTACTTGAGCCTCAATTGCTTGTCTATCTAATTAGAGTATTGCACTAGATGATTTCTATAGTCGCTGCCGCTTCTGCCACCTCTAAAATTTGATTACTCATTCAAATATATTTTACTGCTCTAAATAAAGTAAAATTTTGCTGCCTTTAATGGAAAATGGAAGCAGCTCTATCAATAAACGTTTTCACAAGATTCTACATATAATATTTTTATGGCTTATTTGCTGCCTTTTCAGCACTCAGGATAGGCAAATTTCCATCAAAATTGTGTTACTAATTCAACTTAAGAAATGGCTACCTAGTACATCCATCCAACAATACGGATACAGATTACATATTTATTCAGGGAATTTCTGGACAAACACAGTTTACCAAATTGACTCATATCACCCACAAGATTTAAATCCTATTGAAGACTTTTGAGTAAACCTATGAAGTGTGCGGCTATCAGTTTTCCTGGGATTCCATGGCATGGAATAGTATCCAAGTATAGACCATCCAAAATGGTTAAAATTCTTTTAAAACATTGCATTGCATCTCTCCTTTCTTGAATAGGCTAGGCTGTCTCCCCGATTGCTGGATTCTTGGTCTTGTCACTTTACATTGAGAAGGGAGGTAGCCATTTACATTTTTTAAAAAATTAGCTTATTCTTAACCTTAGGCCCAAAAGAATATTGACTGTTATACAGAAGGGAAATATAATAACTTCTACTGCGAGAGTACTTTTCTGTCCCCCAACACACACTCTTTTGTTTGTTTCTTTTGCTTTCCTTAGTTTACTAGATAATTTTCATGTTCACTGAGTCCTCTATAGGTCCTACAAGTTACTCAGTTTTCCACATATGACTTCTCTTTGTTTTGTGCCTTTATAATAAATACTATAATCTGATTAACATAAAAGAAAAGAAAATAATGAAGATTTGATTTTTAAGAATAGCCCTTCCTGGAGTCTTAACAAAATAATAAAAGTTCTACTTGATGCTAAATCCTCAAGATATATAACCAAAGAATAAAAGGCTCATTCTAGGTCCCATTAACCTATAATGGGAACTTTTACAGTGCCCTTTCTGATTCCTATTTGTTCTTCAATTACACTATCCTCCCTGATCACCTGCTTAAAATGTTGTCTTTGATTGATGTGAGCATTTTAGGGTGGCACACAAAATTCATCACAGTCTGATCCTAGTAACACTCTAGGAACAGTTAATAGTCATTTCCCAGACAACCTTATATTCTAGTAACTGCATGACAGGGACTTTCCAATTCTGTATTCCCATTTTCCTATCACTTAATTCATTGTTTATTTAGTTTTTGGGTTTTAGTATCATCTCTTTTATCATGAGCAATGGATTCCAGATATATAAATACTGTACAAGTATTTGTAAATATTGAAGATACTACATGTGGTTCAAACTAAATTCCAAGAATACATGAGATAAATTTGATGACTTGGAAATAAATTCCTATGACAAATTTCCAGGAATAGATTTCCCAAGTTGCCAGGGAAACGCGTCTTTTCTCTTCCTGTGTGTTTATTGTAAAATCCAATATTTTAAAAATATCAACAGTTATATTAATCATGAATTATACACAGTGCTGTATTTAGAGGTTGAGATGAACTACAGCCCTGAATCAAGCAGCAGCTGAATATCTTAGTAAGTACTGTGTGCCTCATTACATCAGATAACGATCTTCTAACACAGCAATCCCCAAACTTGAGTAGCATCAGAATCCCATGGACAGCCTATTAAAAATCCTATTGCTGGGCCCCATCCTCAGGGTTTCTAATGCAACAGGTCATGATTGGGGCCCAGAATTTTGCATTTCTAACAACTACTGTATACAAGTTTAAAGGTAACAATTTTGATCTGTTAGTTTATGTATATCAAACTGCCTTATTAACAAAATTAATAAAAATAATGTGTAATAATATGATTTTAAGTATATCAGAAAAATCCAAGTGTATCAGCCCCTTTGACATTTTTCTTCTTATGTCACATGCAATGGAGATGAATGATTTTAGCAACTCCCAAGGAATCTCATACATTACTTTGGTAATATTTTTATTCACATAATTATTTCTCAATAAAGTGAGCATCATATGTAGGAAAAAAAGTAATGGTAATCTACAGCTATTAAGGTTGCAGAAATACTTAAGGTGGTTTATGTTGTATACATCATAGCCATTAAGCATTCTTAGGTTCAATGACTATCATTTGGGACATGGGACTTACGTAAAAAGTATACTATACCATAGTTTTTATAGACTAAATTTAATTTCTTTTTTTAATCTTTCAAAAGAAACTAAGCACCAGAGTGTAATAAGCCTAAGGGTCCAAATAATTAAAAATTTTCATAAAGGAGGCAATATTTTAAATAAGCAAAGCTTTTGTGTGAATTATTTTTATAAATTCTTGTTTTACACGTAATGGAATGAAACAGTTGAAACTCCTTTCCATCAGGGTATGTATCTTGTTCTTATATCCTTCATACAAAAGAACATTTGGAAGCTTGAAAACATAATGTTTAGTCTGAATATACTCTTTATAAAATATTAAAGGAATAGGCCATTTCTTAATAATGCACAAACCTATTCAGTCTGCCATACACTATTTTGCATGTTTCAACACATTTAATGTATAATGAATTGAATATGAAAGCCATTCTTTTAAAATTATAATATGTATATTTTTGGTCACTTTTATTTTAATAACTGTGCATTTTTGACCAGAAAATATGCTAATTTGAAGTTGCACAACAAAACAGAGCTTAGTGCCAAAGTTATTTGTTTTAGAGAAAAAATGTTATCAATATGAGAAACTAGCAGAAGCAGAATTTTGTCTTCTATTTGAAATTTTTAAATCTACTTTAAAAAAATAAAGAATGATTATAGCAAATATATGAAATATTTAAACTGTCAAAATAGAAATGAAAATTATTTGACTACATCTTAGCTTTTTATTTAACTTTATAGTTAATATATGTTAGGTAAGGATTATAAAGCACAAATGAATTCATGAGTAAAGCTGGAGGAAATAAAACCCATGCACTTATGTTTCAAGTCTCCTTTATTTTAAATCCCACTAAGCTTACATCAAAGTAAAAGAAATGAAATATAGTACATGCCATATTTTTAAAATTCTAATCCAATCTCCTAAAACATAAACACTGTTTTGATGAAGAGAACACAATTCATAAAGAGACATAGTGTTAGCAACAGAAAAATCACTTCTATTTTTTTAAAGCACCAAGAAAACATTTTACTTTTTATAAATTAAAAGTCGCTAGAATAAATTCTATCTTATCTGATTTCTAGCACCTGTCCACGTTTTCCCTTTTTTTTTTCAGAGTGCATTTTGTTTCAAGGAAAGGGTCAAAAAAAAAAAAAAAAAAAAAAAAGCCTGTAAGATTTTGCCATGTTTTTCTAATTTAATCAGACATCCTTCCTTGAAAGGTCAGCATAATAGGTGAAAGTGACATACTTAAAATAGAGTTTAGTCAGAAAAATTTCAAGTGACCAAGAATCACATATCACATATGTCAAAAATTTGATGTTCCTGGATTGACTATTCAGCCTATGAAGTAGAATTTGGACTGTGATTCATAAAGGCAGAATCCCAGGTGATTATTGCTGACACACAGTTGTCAAAATATTATTTCTGCATATAAAACCCCATTCACAAAGCGAAAGCTAGAAATCCAGTTGGTAAGATTTTTAGAACCCAAACTTCCCAAATAGCAATAATTCTAATACTACAGGCAAATAACATCATACTGTAAAGTAGAAAAGTAATTACTTATTTTAGAAAGTATTTTTATTATTTTCATTCCTGTCTATGATTTATTCATTTTAAACAGTTCTATGATTTGCTCAACTGGATTTATTTACAGGATTCTCACTTTTTTCCCCTTGATAACAATCAATATAATTTTCAATATGAAGCTATCTTTACATAGTTTTTTTTTTCAGTTAAACTTCAGTTCACAAGCCAGTTGTATTTTCTAGCTACATTTAACTAAATATGTCTGCTAGTAAAAAAGACAATGTAATATATTTAATATAGATATATTATAGATTATTCAAGATATATGCGTTTATATATAAGAATTGTACTTAATTTTATGCCATTAAAAGAGACAATGAAATCCCTAAAAGACATTATTTCAAGTAATATAGTGTAAATCATCAAATTATTTTCAAAAAACAAAACAAAACAAAAATCGTTGTTAGCTCTCTTATTTGGGAAAGCTCTTATTATTCATTTTTTAGATAATTTTAATTAATGGGCAATTAATACAGGAACTGTAAATGCTGAGAGTTAAGGGAGAATTTCATGAAATGGGGATTGGCCTCACACAGCTTGCAGTTTCCTGGCTGAAATAAAGATCAATCAAATGATTGCATTAATGTATAATTGTAAGCTGTGGATATACAACAAAGAACATGCATAAGGAGGTAGAGGAACTTATCAGGTGTTGTATGCTAGGAATAGGGGTGACAGTCATTTAGGAGGTGGTGGGGCAGGAGGGTGGCTTGTGAAAAGTCAGGAGGTCTCCATGAAAAAGTAACATTTGACCTGAAATCTGAAATATCAATATTTGAGAACATTCTCATCACTAAAAATTATAAATAAACTGCATACCAAATTACTATGTTTAAACTGCCTCAATTATTAAGTTGGTGCAAAAGTAATTGCAGTGTTTGCATTGTTGAAATTTGCCATTTGATATTGGAATACATTCTGAATTAAGTGTGAAATATGTTATACATCATTTTAATGTGCATTTCTCGTTTTGTTTTTGGTAATGACTTATTATTTGCTGTTTGTTTTATATGTATTTCAGACGATGGAAATGATGTTAGACAAAAAGCAAATTGGAGCAATTTTCTTACTGATGTTGAAAATGGATTGTAAAGCAGTGGAGACAACTCACAACACCAACAACCCATTTGGCTCAGGAACTGCTAATGAAGGTCCAGTGCAGTGGTGGTTCAAGAAATTTTGCACAGGAGACAAGGGCCTTGAAGATGAGGAGCATAGTGACCGGCCATTGAAAGCTGCGGCACTATTCACAATAGCAAAGACTTGGAACCAACCCAAATGTCGAACAATGATAGACTGGATTAAGAAAATGTGGCACATATACACCATGGAATACTATGCAGCCATAAAAAATGATGAGTTCATGTCCTTTGTAGGGACATGGATGAAGCTGGAAACCATCATTCTCAGCAAACTATCGCAAGGACAAAAAACCAAACATCGCACGTTCTCACTCATAGGTGGGAACTGAACAATGAGAACACTTGGACACAGGAAGGGGGACATCACACACCAGGGCCTGTTGTGGGATGCGGGGAGTGGGGAGGGATAGCATTAGGAGATATACCTAATGTAAATGACGAGTTAATGGGTGCAGCACACCAACATGGCACGTGTATACATGTGTAACAAACCTGCACGTTGTGCTCATGTACCCTAGAACTTAAAGTATAATTTTTTTAAAAAAAAAAAAAGAAAGTTGACAAGGACCAGCTGAGAGTGATCATAGAAGCTGATTCTCTTACAACTGCACAAGAGGTTGCCGAAGAACTCAAAGTTGACCATTCTGCGGTTGTTCGGCATTTGAAGCAAATTGGAAAGGTGAAAAAACTTGATAAGTGGGTGCCTCATGAGCTGAGCGAAAGTAAAAAAAAAAAAAAATGTTGTTTTGAAGTGTCATTTTCTGATTCTACACAACAGTGAACCATTTCTCGATCAGATTGTAACGTGCGACGAAAAGTGGATTTTATACAACTGGTGACAAGCATCTCAGTGGCTCGACCAAGAAGAAGCTCCAAAGCACTTCCCAAAGCCAAACTTGCATTAAAAAAGCCGTGGTCACTGTTTGGTGGTCTGCTGCTGGTCTGATCCACTGCAGTTTTCTGAAGCCCGGTGAAGCCATTACTTCAAAGATTATGCTCAGCAAATTGATGAGAGGCATCGAAAACTGCAATTCCTGCAGCCGGCATTGGTCAACAGAAAGGGTCCAATTCTTGTCCACGACAATGCCCAATGACACGTTGCACAAACAATGCTTCAAAAGTTGAACAAATTGGGCTACATAGTTTTGCCTCATCTGCCATATTCACCTGACCTCTCGCCAACCGACTACCACTTCTTCAAGCATCTCCAGAACCTTTTGCAGGGAAATCGCTTCCACAACTAGCAGGATGCAGAAAATGCTTTCCAAGAGTTCGTCGAATCCCGAAGCACAGATTTTTATTCTACAGGAATAAACAAACTTATTTCTCGTTGACAAAAATGTGATGATTGTAATGGTTCCTACTTTGACTAATAAAGATGTGTTTGAGCCTAGTAATAATGATTTAAAATTCGTGGTCCAAAACCGCAATTCCTTTTGCAGCAAGATTGTATGCGAACTTTTGTCTGTGCAGATTATATGAAATAAAAATGAAGTGACATCAGAGGCAATGTATTGGGCTCTGAATTTAGAAGAGGTGCCTGCTGAGACTTCACACAACACTGTCAACTTTCCTTCTCCTAAATACAAATTCAAGACCTCAAGTGTAGACTGAGATTTAAGGAGACATGTAAATGAATTTAGCAAGAGTTTGAATTAAAATGGGAGAACCTCAAAGCTTGTCTTAGAATAAGAAATGATATTTATATAGCTCTTTCACATGTATTATATGTATTTGTATTCTTAGATGCATAGAAATATTTCAGTTGCTCAAATCTCATTTGCTCTAAAGTGATATGACATAGGAATTACTCTAATTCCTTTTTTTAGAGGTGAAGACAAATGTTTTTCAAGATTTAAAAAAATTCTTTTTGAGAGACAGAGTCTGGCTCCGTCATTCAGGCTAGAGTGCAGCGGCTCAGTCGTACCCCACTGCAGCCTGGAACTCTTGGGCTCAAGCAATCTTCCCACCTCAGCCCCCTGAGTAGCTAGAACTACAGGTGAAGGCCACCACTCCAGGCTAATTTCTATTGATCGATTGATTGATTGATTGATTGGAGATGGGGTGTTATCACTGTGTTTTCCCAGGCTGATCCTGAAGCCCTGGCCTCAAGTGATTCTCCTGCCTTGGTCTCTCAAAGCGCTGGGATTACAGGTATGAGCCACCTGGTCAGTTTTTGATTAATTGGCTTACATCTGATTATATAATAAGTGGTAGAGATAGAATGGAAATGCAGATGCCTCAATTCTAACCAATGTTCTTAACCTGTTTTACTACTCTATTATTTTTGACATCATACTAAAGTACCAAAAAAGACAATCTGGAAAATATAAATAACACTATAATATACAATTATGCCATAGCCATAGCCTCCATTTAGAAATTAGAATATTTGAGCAAAGATAAAACATTCTATCCTGTAAGGATGCCTTTTATTTGAAAGCATGAAAAACACTAAGAGTGGCTTAAATAACAAAGAAGAGGCATTCTTTCACGTAATTCAGTGGTTCAGTGATATCAAGGTTCCATGCTGGCTTCTCTTATGCTCACTGGGCTCTGCCTTTCTAGTCCCGAGAGAAATGCAGCTGCTGCAGACCCAGAGCCTTTACAGAACAAGCCCAAACGGAGGAAATGATGGGTCTCTCCCTATCTCTCCATCAGGAGGAAAACCTTTCCTAGAAATCACTGGAATTCTGCACCAGTCTCATTGGCTTTACTTACACTTGCTTCAACCAATCCCTGCAACAATAACTATCATGGTCATGATTAGTTCCAAGATGAATCAGCATTCAACCCATGGAGTCGCAGAGGGGCCATTTTCCAGGAACACCTGGGAGGGTGAAAACTTGAACAATATCGATGTTTCTTTCATCAGCAAGGAGAATCCAGCGAACAGATATTGGGTGGGCAATCAACAAGCTCCCTATTTGCCAAAAGAGTGTTTTCCTTTAAGTGCATGTTCACCGCTAAGACATCAATAAATATCTAAAGAAACTTTAATTCCACAATTACTAATTCGGATACCTCTTTCTGTTTTCCACAAACATATATTACTCATTTCAGACAGTGCTTTTTCTACACTCCCTGAACCCTGCCAGTCCTCACTCTCTTCTTATTGGAGTTTCTTTAATTAAGTGAGTCATAGCTCATGATTTCTTTGTACTAGTTAATCACAATATCAATACTATACTAAGTGAAAACTGTGTAGCTCAACCTTCCTTGGATCTCTCCTCCAATGCATTTATGTAGTGATATGTAGTCTAAGAAAGTTTACGTGGTAGATAGACACTATCAATCAGTCAATCAATCAATCAATTTAAGTACAATCAATTTAAGTCATGTGTAAGCAAAAGGCTGTTTTTAGAAAAAAACAATAACCTAACAATATATAGAGGCTTTGATATGTGTTGATTGTTCTCCAAATCAAATATTAATATTAGAACGATTGAATTATTTACCCAAATTTCTGAATAAAATTAAGCCCTGGATTGAAATATCATATCATTCATAGTTTATAGGGCCAGAGAAGGTAACTGCTTCAGTCTGCTTTGCTAAAGTCACCAAATATAATGCCAGATTATATGAGTGTCAAATAAAACTCTTTCATTGAAAAATGAATTGCTATTCACGACCTCCACAAATAATTTCAGTTTACAAATTTGAGTATTATTTTCATGACCTTCATTTAGAGAAAATTAAAGTTTCATTAAATTTACTCCCAGATATTTATTTGGAGAATTAGTCCAAGGCCTAATAATATATGTAGTATCATATCTCCCTACAAGGTTTTCTCTAAGATATGAAGCACCATTTAAAAATGGAGATAGGGACCGGGCGCGGTGTCTCACGCCTGTAATCCCAACATTTTGGGAGGCCAAGGCGGGCGGATCACGAGGTCAGGAGATCGAGTCCATCTTGGCTTACACGGTGAAACCCCGTCTCTACTAAAAAACACAAAAAAATTAGCTGAGCGTGGTGGCGGGCGCCTGTAGTCCCAACTACTCGGGAGGCTGAGGCAGGAGAATTGCGTGAACCCGGGAGGCGGAGCTTGCAGTGAGCCGAGATCGCGCCACAGCGCTCCAGCCTGGGTGACAGAGCGAGACTCCATTTCAAAAAAAGAAAAAAAAAAAAAAAAAGGAGATAGAAATACTACTCCCAAGAAAATTACCTAGGTGAATTGTAAAGTTTCATGTATGAATACGTCTTTGGAGGAAAAGGAAGAATAGAAATAGAAAAGAAATTATATGTAGGAATGAACTACTCTTCACCATTTTTCTCCAAATATGTTAATTTTTTATAGCTCAGATGATACAAGCATTCCATGAAAGATTCAAGTTTGAAATGAATCACTTATTTATTTTTTAAAATTTATATTTCAACAGATTTGGAATTTAGAGCTTCTGATGAGAATATGATTGGAAGTTAGAGAGGGAGCTGGCAGTCTCCCAAATCTCCTTAGTTATGGACATTTCCTGATGGAATGCTATTATTAATCCCCTAAGTAAGAGTTTCTCAATTTAGCCACTGTCATTTTAGACCAGGTCATTCTTCTTTTTAGGGGCTGCCATGTTCATTGGAAGATATTTAGCAGTACCTCTTGTCTCCCCTACTAAATGTAAAAGTGCCTGCTTTCTCCAGTTGTTACAAAAGTCTTCAAACATTGCCAAATATCCCACCGAGGCAAAATAAAAATTCCCTCTTCCCTTACTCGCTCAACCTGTTAAGAACCACTACCCTAAATCAAGAGTGAGAATTTGCAGTGATTTAATATGGTATAATATTGTTATTATGATTTTTTCCTCTTAAGTTTACAGTCATATTTTAGTTATCCTCCAGTCAGATGTACTGCCAGTTATTAGAGTTAATTAATTTGAAAAATAACAAACTCAAAGTTATTTCCAGCTATTACTTGTCTTTTTTTTATGAAAAACGTTTCAGCAAGGATATCACAATTGTTATAAGTATCTATTTCCTTTAAAAACAATACAACCACAAAACTAATCTATCCTTGTCATATTAAAAATGAGAGCAATAACAATAATTAATTGAATCTAGAGGCACAAATATTTGTATATGCCAGGCTATTAAATCCAAAACCTAAACTTACCATACATTATTTTCACCCAGTAATTTGGTCAGTTTCTCAAAAAAAAAAAAAAAACAATCTAATGTTTTCTAAATCTGCACTATATATTTCCTTATATATATTATGGTTAACTTTATATGTGGGAAATTTAAAGGAAATATACACTATATATCACCACAGAACAATAATTCACATCATTTGATTTTATTCTTTTTTTTAGCTTCGGAGTTCTCAGGTATTGTAAGTTTCATGAACTATTGGGGAGTGTCTCTTTTCTCCCTGCAAATAATAATGATAAGCTTGAAGAGAATGACCAACTGTTTTAGGCTATTTTATGCATCAGAAATAGGAAAATCACAGTTGCAAGATCAACAGAGGACAGCAATGAAGAGGAGCTAATGGGTCCAAGTGGGGATCTCTGAGGCAACAGTAAACCAAAGAAGAAACTGAAAACTTTTGACTGTGGAAGTTATAAGAGATTTCTGGGGAACAAAGAGACAGTAAATTGGGCCAGAGATGGGAAATGTGAAGAGGTAATTTATGCAGAGGAGTGTTTCTCAAATTCAATGTGCTAAAGAGTCACCTATTGAGATACACATTCTGATTCACAATGTCTGGAGCAGGGTCTGGTAGTCTGCATTTCTAACAATCTCCCACATGTTGATGTTGCTGGTTTGTCCCTGTGCCACACTTTACCCAGCAAGGTGCTAAGAATACCCCACT
Source organism: Homo sapiens (assembly GCF_000001405.40). Lineage (NCBI taxonomy): Eukaryota > Metazoa > Chordata > Mammalia > Primates > Hominidae > Homo > Homo sapiens. The sequence continues at coordinate 89,128,954 of NC_000003.12, read as the reverse complement.
GTCTACCTCCAACATAGCTCTGGAAGTAGATGTGCCAACTCTATCCCATCACATTATCTATGAGAATAACAATGGGGGAATTCATTTCCCCCAATTCCCAATATAAAAAATGTGTTACCATTATACCTTCTTTAAAGGAAAACATAAGCCAGACTGTTGCTGTGAAATATAAGATGATTTCTTGTTTTAAAAAGAAACATATACATATCTATTAGTTATAGATACTAATATAGTAATATATATACTATATTATTGAGTATATAGTATATATAGTATATAGTATGTCTATATATGGTATACAGTATACCATATACTAATATATAGTTACTAAATGTTACCATAGCTTTTGCTTTTCTTATATCCTGAAGCAGCAGATTCTCTGGTATATTATCTGAAGGAGTCATGAAAAATTTAAATTTCTAAAATCAAATTAAGGTGAGGTTTGACTTTTAGATGATTAGTTTCAAATGAGTTTTCCAGCTCAAACTTGAGTTTCAATTCACTCTTTATGACAACCTAGGCTGTGCTTTTATCTTAATCATTTGATTCCTTTTACACCTCTGGGAAAACCAAATCCTGGCTTACTTCATACTCTCTCCTCTAAAGTAACTAATGAAGGCTTGATTTTAGGTTTTGGCATATTGTCAAAGTCAAGGTGTGTCAGGAAGAGAAGCAGATACAAAGATGACAGATAGATGAAGTATCTCTGATGGAAAACATCCGCTGGTGAAGAAGCTGGTGCTATCAAAAAATTGTGTATATTTAGGCACAAAAATCTAAAGACTGAACGCCAACACGAAGTGGAAGTAATTACAATCTCTTGAAAAGACGACTATCATAGAAGGACAGGAATACATAAATTTGTTCCTATGACAAATATTTCAAAATAGTACTTCACATATTTCACAAACTATACTTAGAAACAAAAAGGTATGCTCAGGAATTTATTACACAATTGTGTAGGGAAAAGAGTTTGAGAAATGTAAATAACACTCCCCTCATTTTTCAGAAAAAATAAAAGAAAAATGTTCTCCCATAAAAGCCTCATTATAGTCATTCAGAACACCAATATGCTACACACTCTGTAATTTGTATCTGGATTGATAAAATACCAAAGCTATGTAAAAAGTTTAAAACTTAAAGGCAGCAGCAGATTTTTTCTAAGTAATATTCCCATTTTTGAGCTGATCTAGGCAAACTGTAGACATTTGAAACAAGTAAATTAAGACAACATAGGTTTATACTGTTGACCAATAAATTCTAACTACTTGGAAGAGCAGTTACTGAGGTTGATTTTAAGGCTATGACTTTGGAGATTACCGTCTCCAAATACACACTTTCTACATTACCTGAAATTTAGACAGTCTAATTAATTCACTTATTCTGATCACATCAAAAAAAGTCACTCTTAGATCATTGACATGATGCCAATAATAATTAAACTATTTAATCAGTCCATTCAAGCAATTGATAAATTAAGGAGAAAAAAAATCTTCAAAATTCTCACTAGCTCCATTGGACACAAATGTCAAGCTGTGGTACTCCATATATTGAATACTCCTATAAGTATAATTTGTCACCAGAAGTACAAGAGTTCTCTTTAGAGAATACAATAAATTCATCTGCTCCCTAAGACAGGTAATAGAGAAAATGTTTCCTTGTGATAGTTTATTGAACTCACCCCATGTGATGGATAAGAGATCCAGCCCAGCTCCCCTTGAATTGTTTTTGAATCCAGTAGATTGACTAAAATAAAACATAATACACAAACACAGTTAATAACAGTGAATTATTTCTATTTGCTTCTGTTGAGTTCACATTGTCTGTTGTTGATGTTGCTCAAAAAACATAACTCTTCCTTCTCATTATAAGTCTATAATTAGGATAAAAAGAAGGAAATTACAAAAAATACACAGGGAAAGTTAAGAGATCAAAAGTTTCTGTGTCCTTTTAAACTGTTTGCATTTGTTTACAAGGATAGGTTAATGTTCAATATACTGGCAATTTCTGGCATAATAATTATGGGTTTAAAGAGGAAACAATAAAAATGCATAATAGAAAACAACATTAATGCTAGCATATCAAAATAACTTCAAAAATATTAAATTTGATAAATTTACATATGATTCCACAATTAATTCATTTCTTAAATATGTTGACAGAATGAGTCAATTTATCTGTTTATTTATATCTAATATGACACCTTCATATCATCCCTGGCTAATACTCAACATATTATTCTGCAATGTGTATTTTTTAAAAATGTATTCATTATTTACTTATATGTAACACACAAAAAGCTTAACTACCAATTTGAGGAGAAATCAAAGTAAAACTATGTTTTATAATAACACCTGTGTAAAGCTTTACTTATTTAAAGTAATTATTTTTACTCAAAGGCTTTAGTGGTTTTACTCAGAACTTTGTGCTAGTTCTAATGACTTTTAATCGATATTTGTATACAAAAAGTAAAATATAGCATGCATATGGTTGCATTTTTAATATATTATTAAAAGAAGATGGAACACTGTTTATTTTCCATACTGAATATTCATTTGTAATAGGTTAGAAAATAAAATATACAACAGCATTTCAAATACAATCAATAACAAAAGGTTCACTTTAATTGTCTATCTGACCTATTAAATAATGGAAACTATGGTTTTACCTCATCTTTCTCCTAAATTAGAAAACAATCCCATGATTGACTAATGGAGGATGTGAAGGAAGGTTACATAAACTAAGCATGCATTATTAACATGAACCAGACCATGAAAATCAATAAATACAATAGAAGGGAATCATTTTCAGGGGTTACATATATACACAAACCAAAACATAATGTAAATACATACACCGCACAACATGTTCTCATGTTGTTTATAAAGTGTTTCCTGATACATGAAAAGCACCATCCTTTTAAAAGTCATCTCAAGTATTTTTTTTTGCAAAGCAAACATTAATCTTTTAAATGTTAAGAAAAATAAATTGTGTATTTGATAGACTTTAAAAAATCATCTCAACTATTTTTTTGTGAAGGAAATATTAATCTTATAAAATGTTAAGAAAAATAAATTACATATTTGATAGACATTAGGTTTCTAAATTTTCAAGCAGTACTAAAATTTTGATTATCTGGTTAGTTGATAAATAAATTAAATGGGTAAAAGTAAGGCTCTTGATCACTACAATTTAAAAGAAATACAATTCTCAAAGTTAGATTCTTTACGTTTTGCTAGTGAAAGACAAACATAAACTTTACCTTTTATATTATAATTCCTTAATGATTAAAGAATTTTTTCCCAATAAATTAATCCTAATTAGAAGTAATTGTATTTAAATTAAAACAGAAGATAGATAGCCGCTGCATGGATTACATAGTATAATTTCCATAATTGAATTATTTCCCAGGATATCAGTTTGGAAATTAACAGTATGCTTAATTATATTGCAATTATCTCTGAAAAATAATTAAATACCCTCAACCAATTAATCAATGTTATAGATTATATTTCAGATAACTGTTAGAAAATTTTTGAAAATATGAAAATACTTCCTCACCTTTAAATTAAAGGATATTACTAACATTTATTCTGATAAAAGATATACCTAGTTCAGTTGTTAGTTGTGTGATACCAATCATTTAATTTCTCTGAGCTTTATATGGGATTTGCATAGTAGAAATCAGCTTGCCAGTATACATAAATTATTAGATTATATTTGCAATGTCCTTAGGGGTTTAAATGGCTTAATGTATCATTGTGTTCAGGTAGTAATTGCACATTACTAAATGATAATTATATGTTACTCCACATGTTAAGATCAATCACTAGTTTAATCTCAGTATTAGTAACCAGAGTGAGAAGAAGAAGATATGGTTATTACATAGACTCCATTTAGTAAATTACTTATTGGAATGTAGGTTGTCAACTAATGAACTACCATATCCTTACGTTTCTTCTGATAATAAGAACAATGGAAAAGAACTGGACTAATCACATCAGCATTTGGTTTCTACTCAAAGGAGAACAAATAAACCAAAATAGGTTAGACCATACAGTCAATTAAAGTAAGTGTAGAAGATTAATTAAATTTATTGCATTTACTCAGAAATTAAATTTTTAGTGCACTCTATTCAGCATAAATGAGAAAAACACAATTAGCAGCATTACTTCTGACTGATTCTATTGTCTATCAATTATATCTACCCTGAGTATCTTGCAATGTTGCTGTAATGTTCAAATACCATAAATATCTTTAAATCCACCATGAGTTTATAACATGCTGTACAGACTTCCTTCTCGTAAATTTAATACATTAATATTATTTAACAACAGTTCCATTGTGGCTTCTAAATTGTATTTATAATTCAATTACATGACCTAAATACATGATCTAGTAGAGTAGAATAGTTAACTTCAAAACACACTTTAAAAGCACATACTTTGGATTTATAAAGTGCCTTTTGTTTGTACCCAAATAAAAATAACACCGTCTAAGAATTCTAAATACTTTAAAGTGAATTGTTACTTAATTGGGACTCCCAGGATACAAACCTCAAATCTCCTGTGATCCATTGTAGAACTGTTTGAGTATACAGCATAATTGAGGTAAGAAAAGACAATGAATGGAATTTCAAAGTAAATCTGTGAGCGATTTCTCTGCATACATTGACTCAATGTAACATTGCAATACATATCTTAAATCTCACACTGATACAGGCAAGAACTTTGGTTACTATAATGCTGTCCCCTCTCTAAACATATCTAGACCTGATCATTTCCTTTCAAACTCTAGGACAGACAGGATAGGCTAATGAGTTGTGACATACAAATATACTACTGTGGACTGAATTTTAATTGCACTAGTAGTTGGATAGTTTATTTCAATTGCTGGACAATACGAGTTCGCAATGATAAAATCTGACAAAAAGAAAACTTTCTTAAGGCTAGATAGGAACATATGCATGACTTCATTCTTTAATGGCTGTCTCATGCCAGTTATTTATCAAAGCTGTAAGTTACCCCTTCCCAGATTTCATATTCTAATGATGTGATTGCCAAATATTTTTGGTGTGTAACAGAAAACACATTATTTTGTTAATTTTAGAATATTTTATATTCAAAAAACTATGTGGAATATATAAACTTTTTTAATGAAAGTGATTTAAATTGGAAATGTTTTTAAATGTCATGATTCTATTTAAGTTGGTAAATAAATAACTGGAGTTTTTCTGGGCAAAAATGAATTTGGAAAACACCATCTTAAGTATAGATGGATATGGTTCTAGGTTTTTCTTTCACATGTTTTACTGCCTCTAATTGCTTTTAAATAGAGATGTATGACTAGAAGGGGCTTATATTCATAAGAAGGGGAAGGCAATCCTTACTTGGACTGTTGATTTGACTTTCAGATGGGCACTAAGTTACTAAGATCTGGAAAGAAGGAATGGTGGTTTCTGACGTAAATAAGAAGGTGTAGAATGGAGTAAAGGAGTAAAAACAAAGTATAGTGGCGGGCGCGGTGGCTCATGCCTGTAATCCCAGCACTTTGGGAGGCCAAGGCAAGTGGATCACCAGAGGTCAGGAGTTCAAGACCAGCCTGGCCAACATGGCGAAAACTCATCTCTACTAAAAATACAAAAATTAGCTGGCATGGCAGCACACACCTGTAATCCCAGCTACTTGGGAGGCTGAGGCAGGAGAATCGCTTCAACCCGGAGGCGCAGGTTGCAGTGAGCCGAGATTGCGCCACCGCAATGCAGCCTGGGAAACAGAGCGAAACTATCTCAAAAACAAACAAAACAAAGCAAACAAACAAAAAAAGGAGGAAAGTATAGAGCAAATTGGCTCAAATTGGTAATAAGTACTTATGGAAAGGAGGAAACCTAGATGTCATTTCTGCCACTGATTTCTACTGTTATGTTTCCCCCTCTTTTGGATTGTGGGATTAAGATTCCCAGAGTCATCCTCTCTCTTCCTTTCCTATCCTCTGTCACAATGGAGAGACTCAATCAAAAGTCCACTCCTAGTAAAATTGCTCATTAGTATTGGTAGTGTCACAAATAATTGCCTATTCAAATAATTTACATAGTCTTTTCTTCTTAGTAAAAGGAACAAACTAAGACTTTTTATTTCAAATTCTCAGTTACTAAAAGAAGGGCTTGAAACAAATGTTCCCAGTTAGTGAGGGCGGATTAAAAATGTACAAGTTTCTGGAGTTTTGATTTTTAGAGAATTATTAACACATAAAGATTTTTAAAGGACATTTCTAAATTCTGATTCATAGTGGCTACTTGTCCACTTAGAAAGACTGAGAGTGAAACTAATATTCACACCTTGAAAGATTTTTAAGTGCCACAAACATGCAGAGAGTTCTAAAAGGTTTTTAAAATTAAATGCCACAGTTTTTTACTGAAGCAGATCTTTCCAATTACCTAATAATACACCCATAGGCTTTGTGGTAAGGCTATAGTTGCATTTTATGAAACTGAGTTATAAATAATTATTAAACAATCATTTCAAGGTTAACAGTAGGCTTTAATGGCTAAAGAATTTCAAACTCATATAATAATGCACATGTTCTCTAGTAAAACCTTCAGTTATAAGGGACTTTTATAGCCAAGTACAAATAACTATAAAACCACTACAACAAAAATAAGCCCATCCTTTGATTACATCTTGTTTTCACTAAAGAGTAATGACAGTTTCTTTCTATGCACACCATCACTGTAATTGTCCCAGCCTCATTTCACAAATACTTATCTTTATGATTTTCACCACTTTCTGTTATAATAAGCAGAATAACTTTGCTCTAGGTTACAGGACTACACAGAGCTCTTCAATCTGCTTCTAAGTATATTTAAATGTCACAAATTGAAGAAAATGATACAGAAAGAAATAAACTTTGTACTCAGTGTTATCATTCTCTGTGTAGTTCTCCGGTCAAACATAATACAGAATTAAGAAATCGACCTATATTTTCTGATAGGAATTCAGCAAAGCTCAGCTTTTCTGTTTTACTGTAAGCAGCAGGGTATGATATTGAGAAGTTTAGAGAAGATAGATTTTTGATGTACTTATATATTGCAACATAACTTTTATCTACCATGCTTGTATATTCTTAATTTAATTGTTCCTGTGGACTTCCTGTTTGTATTTATTTTCTTTCTACCCAAGCATAATTTTTTTTTTTTTTTTGAGACGGGGTCTCCCTGTGTCGCCAGGCTGGAGTGCAGTGGCACAAACTTGGCTCACTGCAACCTCTGCCTCCTGGATTCAAGCAATTCTCCTGCCTCGGCCTCCTGAGTAACTGGGACTACAGGCGTGTGCCACCACACCCAGCTAATTTTTGTACTTTTAGTAGAGACGGGGTTTCACTATGTTGGCCAGGATTGTCTCGATCTCTTGACCTCATGATCCGCACGCCTTGGCCTCCCAAAGTGCTGAGATTACAGGCGTGAGCCACCGTGCCCAGCCAAAATACTTTAATAGCTTTAATTAGTATTTTATTTCACAGATAAAAATTATAAAAATGTTGTACTATAAACGAAGTCAACTATTATGTGTCAATTGTGTGCAGATAAAAGTTCCTGTAAACTGTGTTAAATTTAGCAGCATTTTATATCACAGAAATGTTAATTTATACAATTTTTATCAAATGAACAGCTAAAATTATGATGTAATAATTTATTTTATTTATTTATTTATTTATTTTTTTGAGACGGAGTCTCGCTCTGTCGCCCAGGCTGGAGTGCAGTGGCACGATCTCCTCCCACTGCCAGCTCCGCCTAACAGGTTCACGCCATTCTCCTGCCTCAGCCTCCCGAGTAGCTGGGACTAGAGGCACCTGCCACCACGCCTGGCTAATTTTGTTTTTGTGTAGAGACGGGGTTTCACCGCGTTAGTCAGGATGGTCTTGATCTCCTGACCTCGTGAACCGCCGGCCTCGGCCTCCCAAAGTGCTGGGATTACAGGTGTGAGCCACCGTGCCAGGCTGATGTAGTAATTTTTTAAATGCTGCCATGTTAAACATTGCTATGAAAAACCTTTGGTCAGGTGGTATTTTAACAGCCTATTTATGTGATATAAGAAGATTTCTGCACTTAACTTATTCTTTCTCATTAGCTTTTTCTCCTGGGCAATAATTTTGGATTTATTTCTATAAAGATCTTATAGAAGAAATTGCAATTAGCTGTCTCATCTCAATCTTTGCCAACAGTAGGGGGAACTCCTTGGAATCAAAACAGAGTCTCACAATAAGATGAGTCTGTGTTTTTATAACTAGAGTGATTCAGGAAATAACATAGAACAAAATTCTGCTAGAAACTTACTTTAGTAAATGTCAATCCTATGCTGTTTATCAAGTGTTAAAATTTTCTTTCTTTCTCTTTTAATCAGAGAAATATAAAGGTCATACTGATATCAAAACTATTATGGAACAAACAGGTATCAAGATATCAGTAGAAAAATGTGTTCTTATAACAAAATAATCCTTTCACATAAATGAGTTGTGATGCTCTACTGCCAGTGAATTTTTAGTGCACTAACAGCCTGACTTAAATAACAGCTCTTTGTTTCTCTCCATTGTTAACTGATATTATGAATCATTCAGACGAGTAAAATGTGTCTCCCAAAATGTAAGTTTCTAAAACCAGGACATTATTATGTAAACAGCATTTTATTTTTCACAGTTTTGCTTTTTAAAGTGTTCCAGAAGTAATAGAATGATTGTTTACATCCAATTCAGAGAGACCTTTTTGAAAGATTAAAAAGTGAAAAATGAAAACATATTACTCAATTATGAAATACAAATAGTCATTAAGGGAAATAGCAGTTTAAACTACAGCATATGCATTTTGCCTTCACCCCATAAAATCAGTCTATCTTGGTATTTAAAAAATCATATTATCATAAAATGTAGAATATCGACATCCAGATAGCACAGGCTATCTGTTCAGCCAGAGTTTGACTGTTGGCTGGGAAAATAGAATACAAGAAGAAAACTGGCCTACAGAATAACTCTAATGTAGTATTTCCTTTAGAAATAAACATAGTTCCTAGAAGTCCGTTGGATATAAAGATTCAAAATTCTAGCATAGGAAACAAAGAATGTAGTGGTGAAACAAAAGTAAGTTTAAATTTAAAAACATCCTCTGGACATTTTGGCATCCCCAAACACACATGTGCACATACATACACACATATTTGTTTTGAAAGAACCCCACTGTAGAATAAATTGGTTTCCTTATTAAACAAATTTCTGGAAAACTAAAATCAGAATAAAGTTCTGACTTCATCATATTCTGCAGAATATCTGGATTGTCTAAAATCTCAGGTGTATCATTTATTTTGATCATGACAATACAAATTTGATGGACATCTACAAACACAGGCACACACACACGAACAAACTCTTCAAGACTTGTTTTTGGGTTTTTATAATGGTCCCCAAAGGATCAAATATGGTACCACATTCTTAGCAGTTTATTTCAAAACACTAGTCTTTTCCTTTGCATCTTAGGAGCATGGTGTCAATGGAAAGCATCAAACTCCGCACTGGAATAGTCAGAAAACTTTTAATTTATTGATGAAAGAGATGGCAGAATGCAAATAAAGACCAATGAGATATTTTTGGGTAGTGTAGTCATAATAGGAATAGCACCTACAGAAGTTTTTATATGGAGATGGTTCTATTTTGATATTCAGTCACATGTGTTTCCAATATATTCACATGCACTCACATGTAATGTAAAGAATTTATGTTAGCTTCGGTATGTGCTTAACAAGAACTATTTCTGAATATTTAGTTATTTTGGACATGCTTAAAAGTGTGTCTTTGTTATATATTCATTTAAATTATTTTTAAAGTTACATGCAGTTAAAAATAAATCTGGGTTAAAATTATCCCCACCACATGAACTTAAGCAAAGCTTCTAATCTCCTAGTCCTTGTTTTTATGAATTTATTATTATCTTTTACCTTAAAAAAATTCTCCCTGTCTCTCAGGGACTCTGTTCTGGGACTTAAATTGCACCCTCCACTAAAGATTCATATCATATTTTCATAATTTTCATATCTATGTTATAACAATTTTTATATAAGTATTTATTTTAGATTCATTTATCCCATTGAATTTGACATCTTCAAGAGCACAGAGCATTCCACTCCCTAGCAGATATTTTTTTTCAAAATCTAGTGGGTAACTAATCCTCAGATAAGTACTGTTTGGTAAATAAACAGACAATAAATTATTATAATATGAAAGATGAGTCATTATGTAACAGGCAATTAGTTATATATCAACCCTTTTCTTGACTCATTTTAATGATTCTTAAAGTTGTGCCTTTGTCATTACATTTAGAGTTCCAAAGTTTTCACTAATAGGGTTAGGGTAGTAAACCTACTACACACCTGGCCAAACATAAAATAAAACATGCTTAGTTAATTTCCAAAGGATCACCTTTGGAAAGAAAAATTTAAAGGAATATTACTAATTTTATATCTTTTTAGTTTTCTTCCTCTCATTTTATTTTTCTTGTGGGAATATTAAAACATTTAGTATGATTTGGAACATCACTTTGAAAGATAAGAAAAATTTTCTTTATGCAATGTACAAATGTCAAAGAAAATCACTTGTATCTGAAAATATAGAAAAAAACCATTGTTAAGCATGGATTAACTAGTTTAGCCAGATGAAATACATATAATTACACATGGAAATTTCTTTTTCAGAGAACAAGGACAATCAAATCATAATTTAGATCAGAAGTGTCAAGAACACTATAATAAAACCTCTAAGTTTATCTTTTTGAGTTATCGAATGTAAATGAGTATTAAATTATCTATAGTAAACCAGATAGTAAAAGTAAACCAAGAGAAAAATACTATGTCCTTTTATACTGCATCTTTGAAAATATTTCCAATATTTGGCAGTTACTAGATTTGGTGGTGTTTATAGATTTCATAAAAGAGTAACAATCTGACTTAATTCTAGTTCTAGTTTTCTATGATGCTGTCAGTTCTTTTATTCTGTAAAAAAAGCAAAATCTACCATGATCAGCTGTGACTTATTCAAGGGGGAAAGAAATCTCAGTTTGTATATAACTCTAGCCTTTTTGCCACCTTTGAATATTATAGATGATTAGAGGACAATTGGGGAAAATGAACAAGATTAGATAGTGACAAATAAATCAATGGTTGTTTTTGTTTTTTTCACATCACCTGTTTGTAATTCAAAAAAAAATTATGCCATAATGAGGTCAAAAGGTATATATTTATTCATTAAATTTTGCTTACAGTTTGGGAATAGCTCAGTTTTGTAAGAGGACAATACTGTTGGTGATATAACACACCACACAGTGCTGCAAATAGACTTTTCCTGTGAGTGGTGTTTTGCTTACCCAGAGGATTAGTTAGATAATCCACATGGAAGACATTGCAAATTAGCTTCCCAGACTTTCCCTCAGTGTGAAGACTGCCATCAGATGCAATGAAAGAATATATCCCTTTAAAAGCTATACAGTTTTATTAATTGCTAAATTGCGTTTGAAAATCAGGAAATAAATACATGTTAACTGCTAACAAGCTGCTCTGTGTTCCCCTTAGTCAGTCTGAGGTAGATAGGAAATGTTACAATTTCCTGTTGATTGGAAATCAATCAACTTTATCATAGGCAAAAAGTAAAATTTTAAAGTCTTACATGAGGCAGTTTACACTTACTGGACCTTTAGATCTTATTCATCTATTTTTCTTAACTATTAATTGAAAAAACCTATATTAACCTTCTCAAAATGAATGTATTAAAAATCGAGAAGAAACAGTTTTGATATTGACCAACTAAACTTCTCAGTAATAAAATTAACCCACAATTCTCTATTTGCTTAAGTCCCTTTTGAGGCCCTGCTATGTAATCAGTCAAGATGTTTGTCTTAAAAGGGAAGACAGCTCAGTTTGGAGCCTTTAAAGTCAGTTTACATTTGCCTTGATTTGAGAGAGTTCTGAAAACCCAAATATAAATATAAAAAAATCAAATAATAGGAAAATGAGTAACAAATATGAATATAAAAAATCAAATAACAGGAAAATGAGTAATTGACATGAATTCTCTGGAAGTAAGGGGGAAAAAGTTTGTTGCTAATTCTTCACTTTGTTCATGGAAAATATGCCAATAGCTTGAAAGAATGGCTAACTCTTTGGTTAACCACCACATTAGTTTTTTTTTTTTTTTTTTTTTTAATGTTACAGTGAAGACAGCAAGATACTAAAAGCTGCTTTCTGCTTTGGAAGCCTGATGTCATCAATATGCTATTTTTGCTCTTTGCCAGGTTAACAGAATTTATTGCAGCAATTAATGCAAAACATATGTGCTAAAATACCCACATGAAAAATATAATTGCCCCCAACTTAATTTGCTACCTTTCAAAAGCCTGTTTTAGCTACCTTTTCTCAATGGCAGGAGTTAAATAGAATACAAGTGCTTTTATGAAAGAAGAGCTAAATCACTAAAATTTATTTTCTCATCTTAAGCAATTTAAAAATTATATTTTAAACGGGGGGAAATTTCCACAGAGACTAAAGTCTACTTTTTGGACCATGTTCTATTTTCTCCTATTACTGACCTTTAAGATAATTCCAATTGTTAATTCACACTTCATTTTTATTACACATAACCCTAAATAATCACACTCTGGTTATATTGTACAATTTCCTCACTATCTGTATGTATGGAATTCCTGACAAAATCTTCTTTCCAGGGTGATGAAAGGAGTGTTTGAGTGTCAGGAAAGGAACACAGAGGTAAGAACGTGTGAAGAAAAGTCATCACAGATATTTTCATCTACTCTTCTGTCCACAACAAATTCCTTTAACTTAGTTTCTTAGTGGGTCCCCCCCACACGCAGATAATCATAACTTATGAGTGTAACTACAGTTCCAAAGTACCCTCATTTATATGGTTTTCTTCAATTTTTCACTACAAATTTCTGAATGTTTCTAAATTATCCTTGCAAAGTCAGAAGACAAATTAGTACAGTCACTGGGATTAAGGTTGAGAAGCTAGTGCTTTTCCTGACAATGATGCCTCCCTAGTTCATAGTCATTTGTGTCTAGGAGAAAACATATGAGGTTAAAATCAAAAGACAAAGACGAGAGAGGGCTTGGCTTAGTTACCGCTTTATTATGATCCATTTTCTCAGTTTCCTCAGTTGTAACAATGGGAAACATTATGTTACCTATTTTAGGGCTGCTTTAACGATTAAATGAGGTTCAGTAAGTCGTGAATGATAATGTAAGGGAAAAATCTATTTGCCAGCAGAGCACTGAGCAATTATTTTCTCAGTGTTGAACACGGCACTGAGGATATATTAGTCTTGAAGTCTACAGGATTTAACAAAATCATCTTTTATGAAAAAGACTGAAGTTCTAACACAGCCACAGAAACATCAGGATCATCCACCCACCAAGCTATCTCGATAGCACAGCTCCCAAAAACCCTCTCTTGCCCATTCCATGTTTACTCCCAATATTGGAAGAGGAAAAATCCTGTTTTAATAAAATGGTGTCAGTCAAACACGGGCTTTGGGAGAACACAGACAACTTTTGAATATGCACAGGGGAAAAGTTTACTGACATCCCCTCAGCAATTACTAGGGGCCTAAAGGTGGCACTAGCAGGTAGTTTTAAAGAAAATTTTTCTAAAAAAAAAAAAAGATATTCTTCATTTTAGTCTAGCGACACCAAAAGAGTTGAATGCCCAAAAGATGAAGAAATAGTAAAGGGATAGGGTTAGAAATCAGCAAGCTGCACAACAGGGCGTATGAGGCAACTCCTGTGAGTCTCAACCAAGCGCACCCAGTAAGAGATGCTTTCTCAATCCGGCAGCGAACCTTGCAGAATATCTCCTTCCCCTGGCTGTCACCTGGTGAACCCATGAAAATGGATGGAAAAGAGACACGCCACTTCCAGACATCAAACTGAAAAGCCTAGCTGACAGCAATGCGAAAGGCGGCAGGGCGATCGTAGATCCTGAATTAAAGTCTATTCCTCAGGTCAGGACCTGCCAGGCCCGTCCAAGGCGCATGGACTCTCTGGCGTCTTACTGACGCCCAGGTAAGGAGGGTCCAGGTGGCAAGGAGTACGCCGTGCTCTCCCAGTGCCAGCAGATCCGCGGCAGCAGGCAGAGGGCGCACGTTTGCCTCTCGCGCGCTCCAGTCTCCTCCTGGCGCTCGTGTTCGCTTAACTTTGCACCTTCGCTCTCCGCTCGCTACAGAGTCTACACCGTCCGCCCGGGGGCAGAAACCCGGAGCAAAAGAGCATCAGGCTGCGCTCGCCCACCCACCCTACCTCGGGACGGAGGCCGTGGCACCCTGGTCGCGCTCCGGGAACTGACTTGGGCAGCCAGGCGCGGAGAGACTTGTGCACAAAGAACCCACTGGCCTCCAGAGGGCTGAGACTGCGTTACGCGCACCCGGAGATGTTTTTTTATGATCTCATCTTTAATTTGATGCAGAGTGAGCAAGCAGTGAACTGTTGAGAGACACCGTTGTTTTCCCTTTGCACCAACGAGCCTGGACCTAGCGGAGAATAGTTTGTGGTTAAGACACCCTGATGGTGGGTGTGGTGGCAGCAAGGAACACTTGCTCATCTCCCTGTTGCCACATTACTGTCTCTACCCGTACGGCTCTGCTTTGTGCTAAAATTTCGCATGACACACTTTTGTAATTTAATGAATTTGCATTATCAAATGTGGAAAGTGTAAGGCGAAGAAGAAGAAAGGCAGTTATCCCCTCCTGTGGCTACTCCTGTCCATGGCGAGGAATATTCACAACAGTTTGTTTGTACAGTGCTGCCACTTGCTTTCCTCCTCCTTCCTCACCTATTATTCTCACTTCACCATGTTGGTTTGGATTATGTGGATTTTCACCCTTTGCTTTGACTGGAACAGCGGGACATGATTTAGAAAATGAAGGGTTGGGGGATGTTCACACTCAGGGCTTCTAGTTTAATAACATCACTTCAAATTTGAGGCTTTATTTGCTGAATTGATTTTGATTCTGTCCACCCCTCCACATGCATTCGTCCAGACATTCAAAGGGGGAAGCATTTTAGCATTTTTTGGCTGTCACTCTTAAAACTTTCCTGGATGAAATATTTTCTTCTGGGAAAAAATCAAAAGTGTGTAAACTTGAGGAGAAACAAAGAAATGCAGCCCCCCCCCACCTCAACCCCATTTTAAGTGTGCGGGGTTTTTAGGGATTTAATAAAAATTGATTAGCCAGATGTTTTACGTGATAAATGCCTTTCTTTTAAGCAAATGATTTATATATTAACATTGGCTTTAAAACCTTTGCTTTTCTCTACTTCTCCAGTTTTCTAATCAACTTTTTTTATTTTCTTTTCTCCTGCAAAAACTTTTTTCTTTGTAATCGACCACCCTCCCCTCTTTTTTTTTTTTTTTTTTTTTTTTTTTTGTACAAAGGAAGCTGGTAGGAGGCAAACTAAAACTTGCTGACTTTCAGATTTTCCTGGAGAAAACCTCCTGCCAGGTTCCAAGAACTACCTGATACCAAGCAGCTGGGAACAGACTTAATGAAATCAAGCAAGTGGCGCACATGTATCCACACCCCGAACACACTGAGGGATGTCTTCCTAGGTGGATTGATTTGTGACTTGGAAGACTTTGCATTTTATAAATGTCACAATATTGCTTTTACTAATATTTCTAAAGTTGTTACAGAAGAGTTAGCTAAGGTTTCCACATTTCTGAGAAGTAAATTTCTAATCCTGGTTTTCTGTATAACTGGATGAATAATATAATGAATGTTTCACACTACTGGTCAACCCTTTATTTAAAAAATCTGTGGAAAGCTACTTGTGTACTTGGTAAAAGCCCTTTATTGACCTTCCGTGATGATAAAATCCAGATCTCTGAAAACAGAACCCAAAAGGAGACACCTGCATCTGTTCTTCTAAATCTTCTCTCAAACAGGAATTAAAGGAACAAGGTTTATTAAATATTTTAAAGAAAAAATGTGCAGGCTAAAAAATAAAGTTGAGGATCTTGACAGAAAATAACTTGTAAAACTTAATGTTCTTCCAAGAAATACACGTTTCCCCTTATATCTAGTATTTATGCCAAACCGAATCATTGAAAGAATGATTCAAATAAAAAGTAGCCCAGATCACAGATTTTTTTTAGTAAATGTCTATAAAACCTTATCGAGTTTGATGATTTGAGGAAAGTTTTATTAATATTTTCCTGAAGATCTTATGACTTGGAAAATGTAACTTTCAAGAACACTTCTTTTTTTTTTCATTTGTGTTGAAATTAGTAAATCAAATATATTTTGGAAATATATTTTGCCTTTAAAAATCATTTGCAAAAGTAACTATTTGATATTTAAAAATTGCATATATTTTATTTCCGAAAAAAATTTAAATTTCTGAAAGGATTTTAACATTAGAAAGAAATTTATTGTGGAAAAGTATTAAAAATGGTCGGACCCTTAAGGAACACACCAAAGTTTGAATGTTAAATGTAGGCAATACATAAAGAATGTTACTAAATCATTTATTTAATAATAAACTTATTAAGAGCAACGTGAGATTACTAAGTTGTTAATATGACCAACGAGCCAACCATAATTCAATTCAAGAAATGAAAAACTTTACCAAAAACTTCCTAAACCTACTAAAAAATGTTAAAAATAACTCTCTAAGATCTGATTCTGTACAATATTTTGTTTTAAATTTTTGTATTAAAGTGTTTTTCATTATAGCTCCCAATTTCTAGTGTTTCATGGAAAGACAACTTTATATAAAATACAACCATGATCTAACACGTGGCAATGGTGTTTTATTACATGTAGTTCCCCTTTTATAAGTCCAGTCACTTCTGAATTAGAAGTATATCCAACTAACTTTTAACCTTAAAATAGGCAAAGAAAACCCTATCAACTACAGTAACAATAATTTAAAAATATAAAATTAAAAATATTGATAGTTACAGTGAAACTGTTTTGTATTGATAAATCTATTGTTATTACTAGAAGATGTAATATCTAAAAGAGTTTATAATTGCTCATTTATGACAAGGACTGGAATAGTATGATTATGAAACATAAAAATAAAGAGATTGAGGTATCCGAGTGAACCTTTTCACCACTCAAATTATTATTATAGATACTAGTCTTTACAAAGATATAGATTCAGAATGAATTAATTTTGTGATAGATTTTGAGAGGTTACAAAAAGTTTCTTTACGGGACATTCAAAATATTATCGTAGCAATTCAGATTGTCAGTAAAAGCTTAAACAAATTTGCTGATAATCCTGTTAATGACCTAGGTCAAGTGTTAACTGTTGTGGGTTATAAAATAGTGAAAATAAGGTTTCTCCTACCTTCAGGCAAATAGCACAGTTAACCATGGAGGCGGGGTGGGGGGGGGATGTAGGGGTGAGCTATTAGGAGAGCTATTAAATTACAAAAATGTATAATGCATTCAATTATTTAGTCTAGCATGATGAAATGCTATGAAAAGCAAATGTAAACCCTCTTCCAAACCAAAAAAACTTATAAAGATGATATGATAGCTTAGTTCTCTATTAATGTTTTAATCACAGTGTGTTCTTATTTGAGGAAAAGTGTTTATATATGAAAAGTGATGCCAATTTATTGTAATTTTTAAAAATGAAAAAATTGATTATTTATTTTCTCCAACATTTGCCTACTACTCAAAGGGAAGCTTATAATATTCATATGCAAGTTTTACTTTTAAGTTTTAAACAATTGCATAGTTTCCTCTAGTATTTAGAATATTTATATTTAGGGAAATGCATTTCATAGAAATAGTGTCTTAGCTACTAAAAAAAGTCTTTAAAAAAGTAGTATATAAATATGAATATTTAATTTTATTCAGTTTTATTTTGGATACTCTATTTTCAATATAAAGAGCTTTCTAGGTAAATGTTAATCCAATTTATGAACTCTTTTGGATAGAAAAAATGATTTAGTGTATTATGTGCTGATGAATTAATAGTGCATTGTACCCCAGACTGCCATAAATGTATAAAAGTGTTTAAAGAAAGTATTTTTACCAATTCTGAAAGGGTTGAAGTAACCACAGTTGATAATTTTATTTTATATCCAGTTTTAACTTTGTTCCAATGTTATTTCTGTTTACCATTAATCATCCCTGTGGTATGGAAACTAGGAGTAAGTATATGAACTTTTAAAATAATACGTAGTGTAGCAATCATATTTTGCCATGAAAAACAGCTGATCTCCCATTAAAAGTCTTTTCTTAAGCCATGTAAACAGAGAGACCTGATAAGAATTTAATAAAGTTTTTATAAAGTTCTGTTTAAGTATATAGGCCAATTGCTGAGTCAAGTGATCATTGGAATTATGAATATCTGTTATCGTTGATGAGTCCCTATTATCACCTGGAGTCATTTTCTTGAAAGCATATAAGAGAGATATTTGTAAATACATTAATAGAAGGAAAATTCAGATTAAACATTTTCTAAGTTATTTTTCTTATCAGGGACCCATGGCATTTCAATATTGATGTTTAATGATTAAATCTTAAATTAAAAAACACATCACACAACTGCAAATGTCCTAGCAATTAAGTCAATGGCCTGGTTTTGTTCTCTTTGGTTCTCAAATGCCTAACTTCATAACAGATTGAAGAATATATTCTAGTAAATATGTTTCAGTAAATTTCTCATAAATTTTTTACAGTGTTGAAATATTTCAATCATAATATTTTAAATACAGTCTAGTATTTCATATTTCAAAATTAAAAAATTATATCAGAAAACTACATTAATACCATTTTTAAATCACCACTCCTCTCATATATACATTTTCAAAAGAATTGCTTTCTATTTAAATTACATTGTTAGAAAAATTGCACGGAAATCTTGGCACATACTTGGCATTTTCACTTTTCATGTTATTCAACTCAACTGAGAGCCCAGCTATGGATAATATTTAAAATCTCACTCAAGTATTACCTAAGTTAAATCATCTTAAATTTGTTTTAAAGCTTCCCTTCACAATCACAGGAAGGAAAAGAGACACTACCCATAGGACACAATCTGGAAGGAATAATCCCATGAATGATGGATAAACTTTCATCCAAGCAAATTAAATGCAATTATGTCAGCTTTCTGAATATATTTACCTTTCTATATCCATATGGTTAATGTGTACCTGTCTGTATAATTATATACATTATATCCCCAAACATACATGAGGTGAGGCTTAAAAGCAATTTGTATTTGATTAACTCTGTTTCATTAAATTAATACTGATTAATTTTACATAGGTGTGAAATAGTTTGGTGTCTTTTTTTTTCTCTTGCAGTTTACTTAAAGGTTGTTTTCCACAAAAATACTGACTAACAGCTACATTCTTGTGCATAATTAATTCAGTAATATCCATATCTACATAGTTCATAACCATTCTATCTGGAAAATATAATTTATCATGACAATGTGGGAATTTTAATACTATTTTTCTAGTTATTGTCAATATTTTAATATCTGCAAAGAACAAAAATTTTTAAAACATTAAGTTTAATTTATTGATATGTTACCTATTATACATGTTACCCGTTATACAAATGAATACTCTTACCTTTCATTCAGGAAGAATGATTGACTCTTACTTTCAAATAAACATTTTAATTTGGTTTGTAAAATAAAAAGTCATTTGTGGGTAAGATAATTTTCTTGATCCTTATATTTTAGAATTTTCATTTTCTTATTTAGAAAAAAGATTCAGAACATTTAATGAAAACTGCCAAATTGATAAAGGCAGTCAGTAAGGAAGGAGATAAATTACTGCTCTATTAGCAGTGAAAGTAGGTCACCGAGTATCAGGCAGTTATTACATTTAATAAAAAACTTTCTAAGTATTTTGTTTTTACTCGTGTTTTTAAAATTAAGGTACATATACAACAGTATTGGCTTGACAATATATTTTCTAAGGAGTGATGTATATAACATGATGTTTGCACATCAGTTGCTCGGTATTGTTAACTTGCAAAATAAATTGCTAAATGTTACTGTTATAAGTTCAAAATCACTAAGAGGAAATTAATGTTGTAAGTGTGGCTTTACACTAATCAATTATTTAGAGAAGTTTGTTTTACGAGTTAGTGACTGTATTCACAAGAATAGATCACAAAAGGAATACAGGAGAAAGAAAATGTATGTATTAAGTACACAATCTTATAGAACACATTGGTGTCCTTAACATTAGGTTTGCACTTTAACCCACTGAAAAGGAATTAATGCTCATTACAAGGATAATAAATAACACAACATCAAGGAAATGCCATTTGCTGCATATGAACATTCTCTCTTAATCTACTATTCAGTTATTTACTATATCTTCCCAGGAGCTATCCACTATTCATTAAATACATTCTCCTATTTGTATATAAGCCTTTAAACAAAGAGAATCCAACCTAAGCTTATTGTAATTCTTGCAAATATTACTTACGTTAATGTGGCATATGCTGCTCTTTAGAACCTGTACCATAGAGCAAACCATTGCCTGGCGGGATACACACAACTTCAACACAGCCCTTGCACCATAAACACGCACCTCCGCTTCGACAAACTCTGATTTCCCTTTAGTCCATTCATAAATGCCATGATCCCAAGTAGGAACAACCTGTCATTACCTTTAAACATACTAAAGAGTCTAGAGAGGAAGGCTGAATTTTCTTTCAAACTTCTCGGAGTACCACATGGTCATAATTAGAAAATAAAATACTGCCTTGGCTATTTGGCAATTAACATAACTGGGTTGCAACGCTGGAGGATTTTCTTTCTTTCTTTCTGCTCAAATTGGCAAACAAGGTAATTGCTCGAAATGGTGTCAGATTAAAAACACATTTTCAAAGTTTAGACCATCTAAAATTATCTCCTGAAGTGTTTTAGAAGACAGTTGGAAAAAAAAAAGGCACATCTTTCCTTCACTCTCAGAGCAAACTGCTCTATTCGGAGGCACCTTCCCGACGTGCAAGGCTTCGGTGAGAACGTGCTTTGAAGAGCGTGAGCCCCGCGGGGCAGAGCTCCGTGCGTCGCGGTACCTGGCTTACCTTCATTGGAAGGCTGCGGAATCAGTTCCCCGAAGCTGTCGAGAACAGAGCAGCTGAGAAGGAGGAGGATGGAGAGCTGACAATCCATGTTGCTGGTGCAGAGGGCAGTGAGAGGAGCATATCTCCATGAAGCATGCCACTGATGTGAGGGGGAGCGCTCTGATTGCTGGAGAAGTTACCATGCTCCGCTCGCAGGCTGATGTCAAGTTTGACACTGGAGATAAGGAGGAGTCTGGCTGCCTTTCCGCGAACCCCGCTCGGGGACTTCCCTGGGTCCTAGTGCCGTCTTCAGCGTGCGCTGAAGCAGAGCGGGATGGCACGCAGCTGGCTCTGCAGCCCAGAGCTGCTCGGGAAGGAGACCGGGTGGGAGTGGGGGCGTCGCCCATGGGACAGGAAACACAGAAGATGTGATGAGGCCGCGGTGCTGAGAAAAATGCTCCCTCTTTTGTGTTGCATGAAAAGTAGCTGTTTTATTGTTTGCTATCCATGCTCTGTTGCTTAATTCACCGAAGAAATCACAGCCTTGATAGGAGTATCATATGGCAATGTGAGTGCAAAAGGAACTGAAATGCGAGAGAAACGTGTGTTTTGAAAGAATAGCAGTCTTTCGTTAAAAAGTCAATCATGTTTGTATAATTGAAAAAAATGATTATAGTTATTCCTTTACTGTGTTCAATGTGATCATAACTCTCCATGAGTTCTTTGTGATTCAGAAAGACACTAATACACAGCCTGAATCAGAGGGTCTCTGCATTTCCACACCCAATGGTATCGTGGCTTTTTACTAGATCTGGCACAGTGATTTTCCGCGCACATAGAGCATACTTTGTTTTTTTTCAAACAGGGAAGTTGACCTTCATCATCTTACGGAAGGGAGCAAGTCTAACCCCAGCCGGAGGTCTACATTCTTTTCTCGTTCTGTGTTGTAAAAGTAATACAGATCAAACCTAAATTTCTTAATAATACATATCCCCCTCCCTCACCATCTCACATTAGGATCTCTGGGTTCTGCAAGAGAAACAATGCATAATTCACAGCTCCTCCATTCAACTTTCAACCACTGATAGTCTAATAATATTGGGGTATTCTTATTCTTTAACATTCCAAATCCAAAAGCTAAATAATAATGTCCTCGTACTTTCTCACTTATTTTACACCATGACTATCAATGGTCTCTGTTATTTCCAATCCCATTGCTGAACAACCTATTGCAATCTAGTTCAGCCAAACAATTTTGTAATTTATATTTTAATAACCAGCATCACTTATCTTTAAAATATCTCCCAGAAAATGGTTACTCAGATATCCTTCCGCCCATCTATCTCTTCTTATACTAAAAAGAAAACAAGATTATTATATTCCTCTCACAACTTCAGAAAATAAAGGTATGTTGATAATCTTAAGATCAGTGATCAATTTTAGAGCTCTTGATAATGAAACTTAAATGAAAGTTTGAAAAGCCCTTGCTAATAATGTATTCAGTCCACAAACTCAATGTTTTTAGTTAGAGAACACAATTTTCACTTGAATTTAAGTTAATGGTGCCAGATAATAGTTTGATGACTGGGGTGGGGAATTGGGGTGGATAGAAGCAGCCAGGGGAAAAGAGAGATCCTTCTCACTTTTCTGTGTATGCCATGTTACTTTGTGTCTCTAACTTCTTTCCACATTGTGTCACCAGAGGCTGCGCAATCCTCAAGTGCCAAGTCTGTCAGAATTGAAAATAATAGCAGATACTGCCCAGAGAACTTAGACAGTGGTGACTCTGGTGTTTTTTCAAAGTTCCAGCACAACACTTACATTGTTCCAAAGTTAGATACACGTTTTCTGAAACTTGAAAGAAACTAAAATCTTATTTGGAATTGACAATTTGAAAACATTTTGGAGAATCTGCCAATGTGCTGACACGCAGATCCATTGGCGCCCCTCATGCTATTTCTCTTTTCACACTTGAAAACTTAAAAACTGCTTGTCACTGGGAAAAAAGGCATTCATGTTTGCAGAAAGCTACAGGAGTGGCAAAATGAGTACAAAGCAATACCTGGCCTGAAAATAGAATGTAAATGATATAGAATCTCTAAATTGTCAACTCTCTAGTGAAAAGTAAAAGGTTTCCATTATGTAGGCGCCATTCTGGACAGATGGGGAAAAGGGAGTGATGCCAATAAGCAGAGAAGAGCAACCATAGCAGGAGTGGAAAGGATGAGGTGGGGGCAGCAGATGCAGGGAAGCCCTTATTAAGAAAGTGGTAGTTGAGTTGCAGCTTGAAGGATGGGTAGGAGTTCACTAGTAAGAAAATGATTCAGAAGGAACTGCAGGCAGGCAAGTCCAGAGAGTGTCCAAGTGAGCCAAAAATGAAAGCATTTGGCACATATGGAATACAGAGTATATTAGAGTATTTGTGGTAGGTAAAGGGCCGGAATAGGAGGAGGTATGGATTGGAGACAAAATGTAGGGAAATATTCTTCAAAGGACTGGTTGAAAACTACAGAGATTTCGATGCCACATGTCAATGATTTTACAATATATTTTAAACTAAAGAGAGACATCAAAAGCATTTCAGCAAGTAGTAAATTGATCATGTCTCAGTCTGGGGACAAAAGTTTACTAATAGCATAAAACAGGATGTCTCCACCTGGGTGCAATGCTTATTAAGAAGTGATGCCTTCTTCCCACCACAGACTTACTGGACCTAAACCTCCGAGGTTGGAACCCAGGAATCTGCAATTTCACAAAAGCTTCTCAGGTAATCCTTGGGGTCCCTGGAGAACCACTGCCCAATGTGAAGGAGGGAATATTAGAGGTAGGCCAGTTAGACTTCAGGCTATTTTTCAAGTAAGACTGAAGTGATAAGGAACTGAACTAGGATCTCTCAGAAAGAAGAAAGATAAAAGGGAAAATGAGAAGACCATTTTAGGTTAAACAAACAATACTCCCCCAAGGAAAACTGGATTTAGTACATAACTCAAGTTAGGAATTAACAGTTCCCTGGGGGAGATGGCAATTGAGAGGAAACTGAAAAGGGGCATTTTAAAGAAAAGTGAAAAACAAGATTTCTGGAGGAAATGACAAATGTCTCTATTATTAGAGTATAGATTTCGAAATTGTGTCAGCGGGTATGGGAAAGAGGAGACACCGGCTAGGAAGAAGCAGGGTCATGAAGAGTTGTATTAGCTGCTCTAAAAAGCTTGGACAGGGGTGCTGAGGGGCAAGGCAGAAATAGTTCAATTTGCATTTTAGAAAGATCAGTTTGACATATTTAAGAAAGGAGGGGAAAATGAAAGTGAAAACTCCAATGAGAAGCCAAAAGACAAATTAGGAGCCCTTTCCAGTAGGATGGCCAATACCATGTAGAGGTTACCAGTGGGGCTCTTGAATCAGAGCAATCTAGGTCACTGACCTGGCTCTGTCACTCTTAGTGAAATCCAGATAATAACAGATCCTATCTCATCGGAATGTTGTAAGGATTATATCAGATTTGGGATGGTACAGATAAAGTGTTAGCCTAGTGTCTGAATTATTAAAAGCATTCAATACTGTTTTTAAAAAATCTTGATCCAAAAGAGAGATCTAGAGAGTGTGACACTGAGCAGTAACAGTAGAACTGAAACCAGGCACATATAAGTGGGAGAAATGGCAACACTTCATAATAGATTGATTATGAGAAATTAGGCAGACGGTAGTGCGTAGAAGGCCTTTCAATTCCTGGCTTGAATGAAGAGTTAGTGAGGAGTAAGAGAGGTTTGAGGATAGAAAACAGACGTGGAATGTAAAGGTTTCTGTTTTACATATGTCTAGTTGGAAAGACCTGAGGGAAAGCAGAGGGTAAATGAAATATTAGGAGAAAAGGACCTAAGTGGAGTTATTTCTTTGGAAATCATTAGTATATGAAAATAGGCTTGGAGTGGAGGCTCAGCCCTATAATCCCAGCACTTTGGGAGGCCGAGATGGGTGGGTGGATTGCTTGAGCACAGGAGTTCAAGACCAGCCTGGGCAACATGGAGAAAGCCTATCTCTACAAAATCTAGCCAGGCATGGTAACACATGCCTGGAGTCCCTGCTACTGGGGTGTCTGAGGTGGTAGGATCTCTTTAGCGCTGGAGGCAGAGGTGGCAGTGAGCCAAGATCACATCACTGGACTCCAGCCTGGGTGACAGAGTGTTGGTAGGAAGATCAGCTGGATGGCCAAGGATGAAGCCCTAGCATACACCTGTATTTAAAAGGCAGGTAGAAATAAATAGCAAAGGACTAGAAAAAATAACTTATTAGAAATCAAGCTTGTGAAAATTTTGAAAAATAATTCATTCTTAGCTGTGGTGCAAGCCAAAAAAAAAAAAAAATCCAAAAAGGTGACTGAAAAGTCACAATTGAATTTGACAACATTTTGGATGAGGCCTTCTCTGAACCTGGTGCCCTTACCTCTATCCTTCCCACTCCCATAGCAGCTAAATTTATTGTTCTTCTCTGTTGACATCCCTCTTTTTCACATCTATCCAGAATGGTGCTCAGGTTATAAAAACTCTTTACTTAATGTTTGATGTATCTTAATCTGGAGAGTCTACTATTTCAATATCCTATATTGTTTATGTTAATTCCCAGGCTTGGTTTTGCTTTGTGCTCATTTTGACACTCGTGTAAGTTTCCTTCAAACATGAATGCCTCTTTCTACAGGGAAGATTTTGATGACTTTCGTGATACTTTTGGTATAGTAATGGGACCACAAGTTCAATTAAGATAAAGAAGTAAATGGTAAGTGAGGATATAGAAATAGTACATATTCTGTGCTTTCAAGAAGGTAAGCTTAGAAGAGATGAGAAGCCCGGAAAAGAGGTAAGTGAGATCCAATGAGAGTATTATAAAATAGAAGAGGCTGACATGTTTCCTTCTGCTGTGCTTAGCTGATTAGTGATGCAATTAATTGACAAGAAATATGGTGGTTCAAATTTGGGAGGTAGAGAAAAGGGGGGAAAATATCAATTTTTTATTTACAACCTGGTGAGATCTAAGTGCAATCAATAAAGCCAGTAGTTTAATAGAAAATAAGAAACCCAGAAGGGCATAAACTGCAAGTTAGGAAATTATTGGTAAATGAAAGTAGTTTAATCCATGAGAGTAAATGTAATTGCCCAGAAAGACTATGAACAATGAGGGAAAAAGAGAACCCAGTGTACAATTCAGATTATTATTATTATTTTGAGACATTCTCACCCAGTCACCTAGGACTGAGCGCAGTGGCATAATCTTGGCTCACTGCAGCCTCTACCTCCTGGGCTCAAGTGTTCCCTCTACCTCAGCCTCCCCAGTAGCTGGGACTACAGGAGTGTGCCAGCATGCCCAGCTAACTTTCATGTTTTTTTGTAGAGGTGGGGTTTTGCTATTTTGTCCAAGCTGGTCTCAAACTCTTGAGCTCAAGCAATCCACTCCCCTCGGCCTCCCAAAGTGCTGGGATTCCAGGCATGAGCCATCGCAACCAACCTCGATTTAGATTAAACAGAGTATCCAAAAGGCAGAAGGAAACTGAATAATTATCTCAATTAACTGAATAGGAGTAAATATTGTAAAACAAGGTAAAGAGAATGAGTCAGAGAGGACAGTAGAGATGAAAATTTCCAGAAGGGGACAGTCAACCGAAACAGATGTAAAGTTTGGTCAAAACTAAAAACAGTCTTTCCAGTGAGTGGAAAGATGACAAGATTGGGAATTCTCTCCCAGAAAATTATGTTTACAGCTGCAAAATTTTTTAGAACCTATCATTTTACAGTTAGAGAAAGAGTCAAACATTAGTGACATCATTATGTTCACAGGGTCAAAGGAAACAATAGAGAAAGTATAAAAAAAATTATTAAAAAAATAGAAAAAATACTTATGGGAAACCCTACAGGAAATCTTTGGTGCCTAAGTATTTGAAGGTGATTAGAAGAATGGAATAATCTCAGAATCTAAGAAAGCTTCTTGAAGGACAGTGATTTTTCAGGACAATTACTAAATTTTGGCTTTGAAAATAGTCACAGCAGATGGCACAAATTAATTTACTGTATTTTAACTGATATCCACTGAATTAATATGTTGTAAACATGCAAGTTTATGCAATCAATATAAAAATTAGCATGCCCGAATTAATTGAAAAATGCTGATTATAAATTAGAAAGATTTAATCCAATTGTTATAAAGCTGTCCAAAAAAGCAAAAAAAGACTTATAAATGTGATTTGCTGGTTAGGATAAACCAATGCTATTTAAAACATACTCTTACATTCAATTTTATAATTACTTCTGAAACATTTTTCCATTTTTAAAACAAATTTTACTACTATCACTACTTCCTACTCTTCTGTTTCTCTTGCCAAAAGACAGTCAAAACAAGCCAAGAGTTCATCTTAACATCTAAGGAAAACATCCCAAGGCTCTGAGCAAACTCTGAGCAAGAGCATATGGGGCTTGAGATGGTGGAGGAGTGAAGGGAATGTTTTGGATGAGACAGGACTTATATAGTAGTCCTTTTAAAACCCATTTTTGAGAAATAATTATGAATATACATACATATGTATATTCATCATACACATACATATGGAATATTGTACCCATCAACAAGAAAGACCATACACTATCCAATAGTATTTTCTTAGAGCAGGGCATGTTAAAATGCAGAATTTTATTTAGGAAATCTTGAGCGGGACCTGAGATTCTGCATTTCCAACAAGCTCCGAGGTGATGATGTCTGCTGCAAGTGATGACACTTTGCAGCAAAGTTCTAAAATACATTGGTTGATTTGGAAAATTAGTGTAAATATGTATAATATATTCAAATAGAGACATTACAATATTAAAAAGTCAGATATGGTAAAAAAAAAAAAAAGTGGGAATACATGGCTCAGTCTATTCAAACTCATCTCCCAGTAAACTTCAAAACTAACCTACTGCTCCAGTC